>NC_000022.11:28861079-29012594 GCF_000001405.40 Homo sapiens
ATCTCTTTTTTAAAATAAAAAAATTTGAAATACCAAAAGATATATAGGACAACACAACAAACATTTTTGTTCCCACCACATGACTTAAGAAATAGGCCAGGCACAGTGGTGGCTCACGCCTGTAATCCCAGCACTTTGGGAGGCCGAGGTGGGCGGATCACGAGGTCAGGAGATGGAGACCACCCTGGCTAACACGGTGAAACCCCGTCTCTACTAAAAATACAAAAAATTAGCCGGGCATGGTGGCACGCTCCTGTAGTACCAGCTACTCGGGAGGCTGAGGCAGGAGAATGGCGTGAACCTGGGAGGCGGAGCTTGCAGTGAGCCAAGATGGCCCCACTGCACTGCAGCCTGGGCGACAGAGCGAGACTCCAGGCGACAGAGCAAGACTCCATCTCAAAAAAAAAAAAAAAAAGAAAAGAAAAGAAATAAAACATTGGCTGGGTGCAGTGGCTCACACCTGTAATCCCAGCACTTTGGGAGGCCTAGGTGAATCACTTGAGCTCACAAGTTTGAAACCAGCCTGGGCAACATAGTGAAACCCCGTCTCTATAAAAATACAAAAATTAGGTTGGGTGTGGTGGCTCACCCCTGTAATCCCAGCACTTTGGGAGGCTGAGGTGGGCGAATCACAAGGTGAGGAATTCGAGACCAGCCTGACCAACATGGTGAAACCCCGTCTCTACAAAAAATACAAAAACTAGCTGGGCATGCTGGCATGCACCTGTAATTTCAGCTACTTGGGAGGCTGAGGCAGGAGAATTACTTGAACCCGGAGGCAGAGGTTGCAGTGAGCTGAGACAGCGCCATTGCACTCCAGCCTGGGCGACAGAGCAAGACTCCATCTCCATAACAACAACAAAAAAAATTAGCTGCCATGGTGGTGCACACCCACAGTCCCAGCTATTTGGGAGGCTGATGTGGGAAGATGGCTTGAGGCCAGGAGGTGGAGGTTGCAGTGAACTAAGGTTGCAGTGAGCCTGGGAGGCAGAGTTTGCAGCACTGCACGCCAGCTCGGACGACGGAGCCAGACCTTGTCTCAAAAAAAATACCCCATCTCTAGAAAAAAATTTAAAAAATTAGCCAGGTGTGTTGGCGCATGCCCATAGTCCTAGCTACTTGGGAGGCTGAGGTGGGAGGATTGCTTTGGCCCCAGAAATTTGAGGCTGAAGTAAACAGTGATCATGTCACTGAATTATAGCTTAGGCAACAGAATAAGACTGTCTCAAAAAAAAAAAGAGAGAGAAAGAGAAAGGAAGGAAGGGAGGGAGGGAGGGAGGGAAGGAAGGAAGGAAGGAAGGAAAAGAAAAGAAAAACATCCCCAAACTGCAGAAAACCCCTGTGTGCTCTTCAATCACTTATTTTTCCCCTCCCCCAAGTAAATACTATTCTAAGCTTGATGTTTATTATTCTCATGTAATTCTTTATAATTTTATTACATCCATACGTATGGCCTAACAAGAAGTGGTATTGTTTTGCATGTTTGTACAGCTTATTTATTTATTTATTTATTTGAGACAGAGTGAGACTCTCGCCCAGGCTGGAGGCAGTGGCTCTATCTTGGCCCACTGCAACCTCCGTCTCCCAGGTTCAAGCGATTCTCATGCCTCAGCCTCCTAAGTACCTGGGACCACAGGTGCCTGTCACCACGTCTAGCTAATTTTTGTATTTTTAGTAGAGATGGGGTTTCATCATGTTGCCCTGGCTGGTCTTGAACTCCTGGGCTCAAGCAATTCACCCACCTCGGCCTCCCAAAGTGTTTGGATTACAGGTGTGAACCAGCACAGTCGGCTGACTTTAATCTTCTTGAAGTTGATTTTTGTGTATGTTGTGATGCAGGAATCTTCCCCTGACACACACACTTTTTTTTTTCTATGTGGATAACTAGTTGTTCAATAATCAATGGCAGAGCCAGGCATGGTGGCATGTGCCCATAGCTCCAGCTACTTAAGAGGCCGAGGTAAGAGGATTCATCGAGCCCAGGAGTTCGGGGCTGCAGTGAGCCATGATCACACCACTGCACTCCAACCTGAGTGTCAGAGGGAGGCCCTGTCTCAAAAATAAAAAAATAAAATAAAAGGAAAAAAAGAAAAAAGGAAAAAAAATCAATGGCAATTGATTAATATCATTTCCCTACTTAAAACCATCCTGTGGCTGTCCCATCTTCTTGTCTTGGTCTGTTAGGGTTGCACAACTTGCCCCGACCACCCTACCCCTGCCAGCCCCCTGCCACCTCACCTCTCATTGCTCTCCTGTTCTCCAGCCACAAGTACCTTGACCTTCCTTCACTTCTAAAGGGCTGGGCTCTCTATCCTTCACTGATTTTTTTGTTTTGTTTTGTTTTGGAGATGTAGTCTTGCTCTGTCACCCAGGCTGGAGTGCAGTGGTGCAATCTTGGCTCACTGCAACCTCTGCCTCCCGGGTTCAAGCAATTCTCTGCCTCAGCCTCCCGAGTAGCTGGGATTACAGGCACCTGCCACCATGCCTGGCTAAGTTTTGTATTTTTAGTAGATACAGGGTTTAGCCATCTTTGCCCGACTGATCTTGAACTCCTGACCTTGTGATCCACCCACTTCAGCCTCCCAAAGTGCGGGGATTACAGGCATGAGCCACCACACCTGGACTGCTGATTTTGTTTTTACTACCTAGCATGCCCATATTCTTCTGGTCTCAGTTGATACTAGTTGCAGTGGGTTGAAAGGTGGCCCTTCCAAAAGATATGTCTGCCTACAATCTGTAAATGTGATCTCATTTGGGAAAAGTATGAAATTAGGCTGGGCACGGTGGCTCACGCCTGTAATCCTAGCACTTTGGGAGGCTGAGGCGGGCGGATCACTTGAGACCAGGAGTTTGAGACCAGCCTGGCCAACATGGTGAATCCGCGTCTCTACTAAAAATACAAAAATTAGCTGGCCGTGGTGGTGCACGCCTGTAGTCCCAGCTACTTGGGAGGCTGAGGTGAGAAAATCACTTGAACCCATGAAGGAGAGGCTGCAGTGGGCAAGGATCATGCCACCGCACTCCAGCCTGGGCAACAGGGCGAGACTCTTGTCTCAAAAAAAAAAAAAAAAAAAAAATGAAGTCAGTGATCTCCAGATGAGATCCTCCTGGATGACCTGGGTAGAGTCTACATCCAATGACAACTGTCCTCATAATAGACACAGGAGGAAAAGACACAGAGCCAAGGGGAAAGTCATGTGAAGATGGAGGCAGAGATTGGAGTGAGGGAGCCACAAGCCAAAGAACTCTGGCAGCCACCAGAAGCTGAAAAAGACAAGGAAGCATCCTCTAGTCTTTGGAGGGAGGATGGCCCTGGTGACACCTTGATTTAGGACTTATGGCCTCCGGAACTGTGAAACAGAGACAGGGTCTCCTTATGTTGTGCAGGCTGATCTCGAAGTCCTGGGCTCAAGTGATCCTCCTGTCTTGGCCTCCCAAAGTGCTGGGATTACAGGTGTGAGCCTCTGTGCCTGGCCTCATTTCTGTTGTTTTAAGCCACCAAGTTTGTGGTAATTTGCTACAGCAGCCCTGGGAAAATACTAATAGGCAGGAAGCTGGAGCGGGGAGCAGCAAAGTCAGGGGACAGGGAGCCCAGACTAGAGGCTGGAGAAGACCAGGCATGTAGCAGGATGAGGCGTGCTCACCTCCCACACGCACCAGGAGCAGGGCAGTCCTCTTACTCATAGGCAGGTCCATTCCCCCAGGGCTAGGAGGATGGGGTCTCTACCTTCACTATTTTCTTTAGAAAGAAGAAAGAAAGAAGAAAGATAGTGATGGCGGTAAGGACAACAGGGCCCTCGGGGGCACATGGCTATGCTGTGGCCTGGAGAGAGGCAGACTCTTCTCAGAGGAGGCTAAGGGCCTCTGGCTAGAGCATGGCTACAAGCAAGGTGGCTAACATGAAGAGACCATGGTGCAGAGGCAGATGCCAGCAGGCTAAAGGACAATTCTGGAATGGGGCAGTGGGAGGGGTCCTGTGTCTTTGGGCTTCTTTGATCCCTGAGACACTTTGGACGGGACAGAGCCTTGGCCACCAACGGGGTCATGTCTGTTTAAACAAAATTTAACACAGGAGGTAAATCATTAACTCACTGAAGAAACAAACAGGAGTGCAGGCCATATCTCTAGCACCAGGATTCAAGAGCCACGGGGATGTTAAGAACTCCTGAATATCAGAAGTGGCTGCCACTCATGGCTTCTGTAAGTGAGTGAAAGCATTTGGTGAGCACCTTCTATAAGCAAGTCTTCGTGCCAGGTGCTGTGGGAACAGATGCATGAAGAGGCTCAGAGTCTGACCTGAGCTTGGAGCTGGGGGAATACGAGCTCACAGCCATTGTGAGCATGCCCATGCCTGTCTCCAGGCCCACCACGGCCCATCCATCATCTCATGTAATTCTCATGCCTCTGAGGTAGGGCAAGGATTGCCTGCATTTCATAGACAAGGAAACCCAAGCTCAGAGAGGGAGAGCAACTTGCCTCGGCCACACAGCTTGTCAGTGGTGGAGAAAAATAAACAGGAGCTGGCTTTTGCAGAAAGGGGAAGAAATTGTTAGGGTTCAAGGATGTGTTTAGGAACTTAAGGGCAGGAAGCACAACTTCCTGAAAGACAGGAGCCAGGTCCAGCAAAGCCATCAGGAGGCAAGGCAGCCACTGACCCTGTCTGGGACCATAGAGTCTCCCAATTCTACTTCTCATGGAAGATTTATTTTATTCTTCCCTCTATTTGAAGGTTAAGAGCAAGGGTTCTGGCATCTGATCTGGGTCCAGTCCTGGCTTCACCATTTATTACCTCTGTGATCTCAGGCAAGCCTACTTCCCCACCTACAAAACAGGGATACCACAGTCCCCAGGTAAGGATCACAGGAGAAAACATGGGCAAAGCCATTGGCACAGTGCCTGGCACATAATATATGCTCAATAAAACCCAAGTTGCTATTATCATTTTACTAGTAGGAAACAGCCTCCCCAAGCCTCCCAGCTCCACAAACACCCATCAACTCACTAGCACCCTCCTTCTGACTTCTTCAGCCAGAAGAAGCAACTATTGCAAGTTGGTATAGCAACTATACCAACTATAGCAAGGGAGAGAGGGAGGGTCATTTCATTCAAACACAGTTTCAGGTATGTGTGGACTAGTTTGAAGAAAAGTGGAGGCCTGAGAAGTTAAGTAGACTAGTCAAAAGGTTTCTGTGACAGGAATTTCAACTGCAGGGTCTTGTGATCAACCTTCCCAATTCCTCCATCATGAACACTTGGGGTATCAGGGAGGGCAGTCAAGCTGAGGGAATAGCAGGATGAGGGCTCAGAGGTAGGAAAGGGCCTGGTATGTTTGAGGGGGTGGGTGATCTATAGGCCATGGAAGGTGCAGAAGAGGCAGGAGGTGTAGTTCGGGGCCCAGTTAAGAAAAAGGCTTGAGGCCAGGCGCTGTGACTCACGCCTGCAATTCCAGCACTTTGGGAAGCCAAGGTGGGAGGACGGCTTGAGACCAGGAGTTCAAGAACAGCCTGGGCAACATAGCGAGATCTCCATCTCTACAAAAAATAAAAAAAATTAACCAGACTTGATGGCATACTGAGATGGCAGTCCCAGGTACTTGGAAGGCTGAGGCAGGAGGATCACTTGAGCCCAGGAGTTTGAGGCAGCAGTGAGCTATGATGGTGCTACTGCACTTCAGCCTGGATGACAGAGGGAGACCCTGTTAGGAGGGAAGGAAGGAAGGAGGGGAGGGAGGGAGGGAAAGAAAAAGAAAGAAAGAGCCGGGCACAGTGGCTCACGCCTGTAATCCCAGCACTTTGGGAGGCCGAGGCGGGCGGATCACGATGTCAGGAGATCGAGACCATCCTGGCTAACACGGTGAAACCCCGTCTCTACTAAAAATACAAAAAATTAGCCGGGCGTGGTGGCACGCTCCTGTAGTCCCAGCTACTCGGGAGGCTGAGGCAGGAGAATGGCCTGAACCCAGGAGGCGGAGCTTGCAGTGAGCCGAGATCGCGCCACTGCACTCCAGCCTGGGTGACAGAGTGAGACTCCTTCTCAAAAAGAAGGAAAGAAAGAAAGAAAGAAAGAAAGAAAGAAAGAAAGAAAGAAAGAAAGAAAGGAAGGAAGGAAGGAAGGAAGGAAGGAAGGAAGGAAGGAAGGAAGGAAGGAAGGAAGGAAGGAAAGAAAGAAAGAAAGAAGTAAAGAAAAAAGCAAGCCTTGAATGCCAGGATTTTATTTTGGTGTAGACTCAAGAGTCATTCATTCATTTAGCGAACGTGTGGGAAGCATTATGTTCCATTCAACTGTATGGGAGGCATTTTGCCAGGGATTAATTACCTGCCTAAGCAAAAGGCATAGTCCTTGTCCTCAGGGAGTTAAATGGCCTAGTAGGAGGAAACGGGCACAAAAATGGATGAATGTTTTGCAACATGATTCAAGCTCCAAGAGGGACCTGCTGAAGGTGGGAGAACAGGGGGAGGAGCACCTGTCCACCAGAGGTTTGGGAGAGAGGTGGAAAAGACCTTAGAGGAAGCAACTACCCTGTCTATTTTTGCTTTTATGTGTTTTGCCTGACTGCCATCCATTCCTCCTTTACTAAGGGGACACAGTCATCAGCCAAGCTTGGTCCATATAGTTTCAAGGTACTGACTCAGGTCCCCTGCTCCAGAGAAGGGCAGATGAGCCAAGTCTAGCCAATCAACAGAGGCTATCTCCCTGGCCATAGTGATTGGTTCAGAAAGGTGCACATAAGTCAGGTCTGGCCAATGAGGGTCAACCCATGATTTGGGTTGGCACTGAGGGGAAAGGAGCTCTCTTTACACCAGGAGTGTTGGCAACATGGATTAGCTGAGCCTGGAAGAGAGGGGCCGCCATGTAAAAAAAAAACGAGAAAAGTGGCGTCACAGAGGAAAGCAGAGCAGCCAACTGGAGAGCAATGGCGTCTGACAGTATCTTTGAGCCCCTGGTCCCATTAGTGTCTGAACCCAAAATTATCTCTAGACTTCAGCTAGGCAGGGTGGCTCACGCCTGTAATCTCAGCACTTTGGGAGGCCAAGGCGGGCGGATCACTTGAGTTCGAGACCAGCCTGGGAAGCATGGCAAAACCCTGTCTCTACTAAAAGTTTTTTTTTTTTTAAATCATCTGGGCTTGGTGGCACGTACCTGTAGTTCCAGCTTCTCAGGAGGCTGAAGTGGGAGGATCACTTGAAACCAGGAGTTTGGGGCTGCAGTGAGCTGAGATTGTGCCACTGCACTCCAGTCTGGGTGACAAAGTGATGCCCTGTCTCAAAAAAAAAAAAATATATATATATATATTTTATATATATATATACAAATATATATATGTATATAGTTACTGTATTAGTCTGTTCTCATGCTGCTAAAGACATAACCGAGACTGGGTAATTTATAAAGGAAAGAGGTTTAATTGACTCACAGTTCCACATGGCTGGGGATGTCTCACAATCATGGCTGAAGGCGAATGAGGAACAAAGTCACTTCTCACACGGTGACAGGCAAGACAGCTTGTGTTGGGAAACTCCCCTTTATAAAACCATCAGATCTCGTGAGACGTATTCACTCTGACGAGAACAGCAGGGAAAAGACCCGCCCCCATGATTCAATTACCTCCTACCAGGTCCCTCCCACAACACGTGGGAATTATGGGAGCTACAATTCAAGATGAGATTTGGGTGAGGACACAGCCAAACCTTATCAATATATTATCTCTGGACCTTGAAGTTATGCAAATCACTAAATTAGCTTTTTTTTTTTTTTTTTGAGACGGAGTTTTGCTCTCGTTGCCCAGGCTGGAGTGCAGTGGCACGATCTCAGCTCTCCGCAACCTCTGCCTCCCAGATTCAAGAGATTCTCCTGCCTCAGCCTCCCAAGTAGCTGGGATTACAGGCATGTGCCACCATGCCTGGCTAATTTTGTCTTTTTAGTAGAGACGAGGTTTCTCCCATGTTGGTCAGGCTGGTCTGGAACGCCTGACCTCAGTTGATCCACCCGCCTCAGCCTCCCAAAGTGCTGGGATTACAGGCGTGAGCCACCGCACCTGGCACCTTTTTTTTTTTTTTTTTTTTTTTTTTTTGGAGACAGTCTTACTCTGTTGCCCAGGTTGGAGTGCAGTGGCAAGATCTCCAGCTCGGCTCGCTTCAACCTCCGCCTCCCGGGTTCAAACTATTCTCCTGCCTCAGCCTCCTGAGTAGCTGGGAGTACAAGCGCCCGCCACCATGCCCAGCTAATTTTTGTATTTTTAGTAGAGATGGGGTTTCACCATGTTGCTTAGAATGGTCTTGAACTCCTCATCTCAGGTAATACACCTGCCTTGGCCTCCCAAAGTGCTGGGATTATAGGCTTGAGCCACTGCACCCGGCCTAAATTATCTGTTTTGCTAAGGCAATTTGAGATGGCTTTCTGTCACTATAAGAGAAAGGGTTTTAATATGTTTGATCTCTTATTCCTGACTTCTAGTTTTCCTTTTTTTCCAAATAATTCTGGTAAGTTTCTTCTGTACCATCCCAGGAAAAATATATAAATATTTATATACATATATATGGAGTATATATATATATATAATTTCACTGTATTTTCAAGGACGTTCATTGCAGCAGTGTTTGTAGAAGCCAAAGAGTGAAAACAACCTGCATCCACCAACAGAGAAGGAGTTATGGACAAATGAAATGATAGCCTACATTTGCTTTAAAGTAATGCAGAGGGGGAGGGAGGGAGACAGTATGGGGGAAAAGCTGAAGCAAGACTGGCCAGATGTTAATAATTAGTGAAACTGGGCTCATCCAGTTCCATTCACTCTTTTGAATATGTTTGAAATTTTCCAAGATAAAATTTAAAAAATTTTAAATTATATTATGTCCATTACCAGAATATTCTGCAACAGTTAAAAGTGAAATAGGCCTAGATGTGCTGATACAGCAAGCATTCTAAGACAAAATACAGGGCATATCACAGTATATATAATATTTTCCTGATTTATTTTTCTCTCTGGATCTCGGGTGTATAGAATTAGATTAGTCATGACACACTGGCGTCATTGGTCCATGTATGGCTTGCTTTTATTTAGTTAGTTAGCGAGTTTTAATTTTTTTTTTTTTGAGACAGAGTTTCACTCTTGTTGACCAGGCTGGAGTGCAATGGTAATGGTGCAATCTCATCTCATTGCAACCTCCACCTCCCGGGTTCAAGCAATTCGCCTGTCTCAGCCTATTGAGTAGCTGGGATTACAGGCACCCGCCACTACACACGGCTAATTTTTGGTATTTTTAGTAGAGATGGGGTTTCACCATGTTGGCCAGGCTGGTCTCGAACTCCTGACCTCAGGGGATCTGCCCGCCTTGGCCTCCCAAAGTGCTGGGATTACAGGCATGAGTCACCGTGCCCGGCCAGTTAACGAGTTTTAATAATATAATAAAGACCCACGATCCCACCATCCAGAATGAAAACTAGGACTTTGAAAATAACCTACAGGCCGGGCACGGTGGCTCATGCCTGTAATCCCAGCACTTTGGGAGGATGAGGCAGGCGGATCACGAGGTCAGGAGATCAAGACCATCCTGGCTTACACGGTGAAACCCCGTCTCTACTAAAAAAAAAAAAAAAATTAGCTGGGCGTGGTGGCAGGCGCCTGTAGTCCCAGCTACTTGGGAGGCTGAAGAAGAAGAATGGCGTGAACCTAGGAGGTGGAGGTTGCAGTGAGCTGAGATCGTGCCACTGCACTCCAGCATGGGTGACAGAGTGAGACTCCGTCTCAAAAAAAAAAAAAAAAGAAAATAACCTACAGGCTATTGTAAAATATGACATGTTGATATGGGTTAGGTCTATGTCCCCAACAAATTTCATGTTGAATTGTAATCCCCGGTGTTGGAGGTGGCCTGGTGGGAGGTGACTGGATCATATGTATGGAGTTCTCATGCATGAGTAAGCACCATCCCCTTGGTGCTGCTCTGCTGACAGTGAGTGAGTGAGTTATCCTGAGACCTGGTTATTGAAAAGTGTGTAGCGTCTTCCCTCTCTCTCTTCCTCCTGCTGCGGCCCTGTAAGATGTGCCTACTTCCCCTTCACCTTCCACCATGATTGTAAGGCTCCCGAGGCCTCCCCAGAAGCATGTATGCTTCCTGTACAGCTTGCAGGACTGTAAGCCAATTAAACCTCGTTTCTTTATAAAATTACCCAGTCTCAGGTATTTCTTTATAGCAGTGTGAAAACAGGCTAATAGTATTAACATGTACTATATGTTAAGAGAAGTATTAGATAAAAAAACTTTTGCTCCACAAGATCCAAAACTTGGAAATAGACCGAATGTCCATCAAGAGAAGAATGAAATGGATGAACTCTGATATTATCTGTGCAATGAAACACTATACAAGAGTCAAAACAGGTGAACTCCAATGACTTGATAATATGGACAAAGATTATCAATACACTATGAAGTGGAAAAAAATAAAGAAAGGTCCCAAAAGATGATATTCATTATGATACTCTTATAAAAGTAAAAGCAACGAAAATGAATAAAAATAAAATTTGAGATTACATACAGATGCAAAGACAGTATATAAAAGGGAAGCAAGGGATTCAAAATAATGGATAACTTAAGTAGGGGAAGGCAGGGGCATGAGATGGAATCTTAGGGTTACATATTCGTTTTTTGTAAAACAAAAATATGTATATATGCATGTGTGTATATATGTATATGTGATACCTATGTAATATACACATATACATATATATTTACAGTATATATACAGATTTAGTCTGTACTATAAATCTTTACAGTATATATTATATAGTATATATACTATTAATCTATAGTATATACAGTATATCATAGTATCAACCTTATATCTACTGTATATACAGTATATGTATAGATACAATATGTGGTATATACTGTATCTATAGTATATATTATAGATGTACAGTATATATACACTATAAATGTATGTGTGTATATACTGTTTATATACTATATACATATATATAGTGTAAATCTTTGCAAACCATTGTGAAAGTATCTGTAGAATAAAAGTAGGCTTTCTCGATCCTTGTGGCTGTAGCTTCCAAAAGCCTTAAGGCTCTAGTTGACCAACACCAAAGAAAGTGGCACTGCTGCAAGCCAGTGCCCCAAATACACAAACGAAGAAGGCAAGGTTGTGGGATATCCCTCTTCCACATCATGTCTGTGCTCAGTATTTAATTGTTGCCAGATAGCACCTGTGTATACATGAGACCGTGTAGGAGGCTGGGCACCTCCATGCTGTGTACTTTTATTGATCTATTAGCTTGTTGTAGGTTCTAGGTCTTGGTTTTCTGATCTCTAAGGTGTCTTTCAGCAATAAAACGTGAGGCCTATTTGAATTCCATGTCACATTTGGAGATGACGGATTTGTCATCTTCTATGTTGTGAGTTATTTCTTCTAAGTGCCCTCAATTGAAATGATAAGGAGGCTGGACATGATGGCTCAGGCCTGTGGCACTTTGGGAGGCTGAGGTGGGAGGATCACTTGAAGCCAGGAGTTTGACCAGCCTGGGCAACAAAGCAAGATCCTGTCTCTACAAAAACAAAAACAAAAACAAAAACAGGCCACGCATGTTGGCTCACGCCTGTAATCCCAGCGTGATTGAGAGGCCGAGGCTGGTGGATCACTTGAGGTCAGGTGTTCAAGACCAGCCTGGCCAACATGGTGACACCCTATCGCTAGTAAAAATACAAAAATTAGCCGGGTATGGTGGCTCACGCCTGTAATCCCAGTTACTCAGGAGGCCGAGGCAGGAGAATTGCTTGAACCTGGGTCACACCACTGCACTCCAGCCTGGGCAACAGAGCGAGACTCTGTCTCAAAAACAAAACAAAACAAACAAAAACAAAAACAACAAAAACAAAACAGAAGTTAACCAGGTGTGGTAGGTGCATGTCTGTAGTTCTAGTTACTCAGGAGGCTGAGGTGGGAGGATGGCTTAAGCCCAGAAGTTTGGGGCTATAATGAGCTATGATCAATGCACTCCAGCCTGGGCAACACAGTGAAACTCTGTCTCAGGAAAAATAAAATAAAATTAAAAATAAATGATAAGGAAGTCTAGTCTGAGTATTTGTTCATTCATTCACTTAATTAATACAAAGAGCACTTCTTTATTTTAGGTTTCTGGCTTTGGAATCTTTTTCATTTTTCTTGATTTGCAAAAGATTCTTTGAGAGGTACATACTAGAGATTGAAAAGTGAAACTATATTTGACTCAACTGATTTTAGCAAAGTTTGGGTTTCTTGATCCACCTCAATCTCAGTTTCTTTGGTTTGTTGGTGCATATGTTGTATGTGAGTGTCTACCTCTTATTGCTGCTGCTAGTCACTGAACTAGTCAGCTTTACAGCTGTATTTGTCAGGAGTCTTTTGTTACAGGGATGGATCCAAGTGCTCAATGGATGCAGCCAGTATCCTTCCTCTTCTTATTTATCTCATCTCAGCTTGTCTCTGCTCCTTTTTCCTGCAGCAGCAACAGCAGCGACAGCAGCATTTTCTATGCGGTTGAGGAAAAAAGCCACAGCTTAAGTTTACATAATCCTTACAGTTTGAGATGCGAGAGGAGAAGAAAGATTTCTCTCCCAAATTGCTATAGATCATATTTCAGGGAAGATTCTAATTGGTCCTGCCTTGGTCACATGCCCACTTCTGAACCAATGCTTGTAGTTAGGGGAGTGCAGTGCTTTGATTGGCTAGTCTGAGTCACATGCCCACTTATGTTGGGATACTGAGCTCTGTAATTGACATCCCCCCAGAGATAGCATGGGCCAGGAAGGATGATACCCTAGGAAGGGATGTTGAGTCAGTAATTCCTGTTCATTATTACCTCCCTGCAAGCTGTTGTTGTTTCCCACTCACAGTGAATGGAGTGTATATTCTCACCCAAACTGTCTTCTTTCCTATTAACTCGCCTCTGTGGTAAGCCCTCCTGTCTGATATTGTTGGACATAAGCAAGTAATTGGCCTTTATTTCCTTCTGATGTTTTCTCCCAATCCTTTTTTCTTTATCTTCAAATAGAGATACGATCAGTGTAAAAGCAACCTGACTTCCCTATCTTTTGAAGGTCTGATGATCCCTCATCCATCATCAGCCTTTCTTGGCCAAGTAGGCATATGATTACATTTCCACTTCAATTAAATGCTGCACCCTGAAGACAGATGCCTCTTGTGGTCAAGGGTGCTGCCCACGAATACAACTGTATCCTATATATAGTGCAGTATTTATACTTGTGAGATCTTGGAACTTCTTCCTTTTCCTCACCTTAATAGCTTAGAAGTGATCATTTTACCACTTGGTCCAATCAGCGTCTACTTTGTCTAATTTCTCTTCTGTGTCTCTTGAGTCAAAAATGGCCTGTAGATGTATTCATTTAGCTCCACAGCAATACTAATCTTTAAAAATCTGTCACGAACATTTAGGCCGGGCACAGTGGCTCACGCCTGTAATCCCAGCTCTTTGAGAGGCCAAGGCAGGCGGATCACCTGAGGTCAGGAGTTTGAGACCAGTCTGGCCAACATGGCGAAACCCCATCTCTACTAAAAATACAAAAATTAGCCAGACTTGGTGGCGTGCGCCTGTAATCCCAGCTACCCAGGAGGCTGAGGCAGGAGAATCGCTGGAACCCAGGAGGCAGAGGCTACAGTGAGCCGAGACTGCGCCAACACACTCCGGGCTGGGCGACACAGCAAGACTCCGTCTCCGAAACAACAACAACAAAAATCTATTGCGAACATTTAAAAACTAGGAGATGCTACAAACAAATATGAATTTTTACTTCTTTTGAACAAATCAGAAGATCTGTGCATCTTAGGTCCACATTCCCCACAGCAGTGACATGCTGGAGTGGCCCTCTGGACTGGCCATGCATTCCCAAGGCCACCACTCCCAAGGGTGTTACCATTTGAAGCACTGTTGTCATTTACCATCTCATTTGCTGGTTATTTTTGCTTACATTTGGCCCACTTCACTCAGTCACATTCCCTGCCTGGCCCCTGGAGCACTCTTGGAGTTTGTGACTCCCAGTTGGGCAGCCATTGCAAATCAGGGGCAGGTTGAAGCAAGGTTTAAACTACTGATGAGCTGGGGCCTAGATTGGCTTTCTGCCTTAAGGCTCAAAGTAGACATAGATTGATGGCATACTTCAAAGGCCAAAGAGATACTTCTAAGAGTTTTGAAAGAACTGCCGCTACTTGTCTATATAACATCTATTGTGCCTTTCAAGAGAATTATATGATGTTTAAATACAATAAACGAACGTTTCCAGAAATAGATATAAATACTGTAGAAGAATGCTAGCATGTCGTACATCTGGATCACCTTAAAGAAGCAACATAAGGCTCAAAGTCTTAAAATTATTTTGTAAAATGTTAATGTGTACTTAGATTTTATTAAAATCTTTTATTGACTTCTTTATCTGTCCCATATAGTAATAAATGTTTGCAGATAGAAGGAAGAAATGAAAAAAGAAAGGAACTACTTGAATACAGAGACTGGTTAATCCATTTTTTAAATTTAGCTTTTTGTTGTTTTTTCTTGAGATGGAGTCTCGCTCTGTCCCCCAGGCTGGAGTGCAGTTGCGTGATCTTGGCTCACTGCAACCTCTGCCTCCTAGGTTTAAGCAATTCTCCTGCCTTGGCCTCCTGAGTAGGTGGGACTACCGGCGCATGCCACCATGCCAGGCTGATTTTTTAATTTTTTTAGTAGAGACGGGGTTTCACCCTGTTGGCCAGGCAAGTCACAAACTGCTGACCTCAAGTGATTCACTTGACTCACCTTGGCCTCCCAAAGTGCTGGGATTTCAGATGTAAGCCACCGCCCTGGTCTTTTTTTTTTTTTTTTTTTGAAACGGAGTCTCGCTCTGTCGCCCAGGCTGGAGTGCAGTGACGCAATCTCGGCTCACTGCAAGCTCTGTCTCCTGGGTTCATGCCATTCTCCTGCCTCAGCCTCCCAAGTAGCTGGGACTACAGGTGCCCGCCACTATGCCCAGCTAATTATTTTGTATTTTTTAGAAGAGACGGGGTTTCACCATGTTGGCCAGGATGGTCTCGATCTCCTGACCTTGTGATCCACCCGCCTCGGCCTCCCAAAGTGCTGGGATTATAGGTGTGAGCCACTGTGCCCGGCCCCATTTTTTAAATTTAGTTTTTATTTTTAAATAATTAGAAGTTGCAGAAATAGTACATAGAGCATCTGTAAGCCCATTACTCAGCTTTCTCCAATGGTGACATCTTCCATAACTATAGGCCTATCTGTTTTCATATTCCAGTGGCACACATGGGTGTTCAATACAGTTTATTGAATCTATTTGCATATAGGAAATGAATGTTATCATCAGCTGATTTAACATGTTAGTCTTTTTATTTTTATTACTTTTGAATATGTAACAAAATGCACGTGAAGCAAAATTCACTAGGTACAAAGGATATGCAGTTGTCCCTTGGTATCCATGCGGGATTGGTTCCAGGACCTTCTGCAGATACCAAAATCTGCAGATGTTCAAATCCTTAATATAAAATGGTGTACAGTGGCCAGGTGTGGTGGCTTGCTCCTGTAATCCCAGCACTTTGGGAGGGTGAGGTGGGCGGATCACATGGGGTCAGGAGTTCAAGACCAGCCTGGCCAACATAGTGAAACCCCGTCTCTACTAAAAATATAAAAAAATTAGCTGAGCATGGTGGCGGGCGCCTGTAATCCCAGCTACTCGGGAGGCTGAGGCAGGAGAATCGCTTGAACCCAGGAGGCAGAGGTTGCAGTGAGCCGAGATCGCCATTGCACTCCAGCCTGGGCAACAAAAGCGAAGCTCCATCTTAAAAAAAAAAAAAAAAAAAAAAAGTGTACAGTTTGCATATAACCTACACACATTTCCTGTATACTTTATTATTTATTTATTTGTTTATTTACTTTGAGATGGAGTCTTGCTCTGTACCCCAGGCATCAGTGAAGTGGGGCGAACTCGGCTTACTGCAACCTCCACCTCCCGGGTTCAAGTGATTCTCCTGCCTCAGCCTCCTGAGTAGCTGGGACTACAGGCACCTGCCACCACACCCGGCTAATTTTTTGTATTTTTAGTAGAGACAGGGTTTCACCATATTAGCCAGGATGGTCTCAAACTCCTGACCTCGTGACCTGCCCTCCTCGGCCTCCCAAAGTGCTCGGATGACAGGGGTAAGCCACTGTGCCCAGCCACCTTATTTTTATTTATTTATTTATTTTGAGATGGAGTTTTGCTCTGTTGCCCAGGCTGGAGTGCAGTGGCGCGATCTCGGCTCACTGCAAGCTCCTCCTCCCAGGTTCACGTCATTCTCCAGCCTCAGCCTCCCGAGTAGCTGGGATTGCAGGCATGTGCCACCATGCCCGGCTAATTTTTTTGTATTTTTAGTAGAGACGGGGTTTCACCGTGTTAGCCAGGATGGTCTCAATCTCCTGACCTCGTGATCCGCCCGCTTCGGCCTCCCAAAGTGCTGGGATTACATGCGTGAGCCACCATGCCCGCCCCTTTTTTCCTGAATATTTTCTATTCATGGTTTATTGAATCCATGAATGCAGAACTCACAGAAATGGAGGGCCGACTTTTCAGAGACAAGTAAGTTTCCCTTGATTCCTTGCCTCCCAGTCACCAAGATGCCTCTCCCGAGACAACCATTTATTAGTTTCTAATGTCTCCTTCCATATGTAGGTAATGTTTGCAAACCTTAATGTATCTGTTGTCTACTCACCCATCCCTCTTCTGTTGTAGAATGCCATATGCATCTGTATTTATTTGGCACAGATACAGTCTCTTTAGGTACTAAATCATATGTTTATGAATTTGAAATCCCTGAACTTCCGTATTTAGACATATAAATAGAACTTTGCTAGTAGAAAATTTCCTGAAGCTTTGTGTGGTTTTTGGCCTAAGTCAGTGAGATTTGCCAAAGGTTTGGCAGCTTTAGCCAATGCTGATGCACCTGTTCTCAGTTATTTGCTTCTGAGCTGTGTCTGATAAGCAAGAAAAGGTGTAAGCTAAATTACACCCAGGATGATCTGCTAGGGATGTGCCATACAAGATAATGAATGCGCTTCTCTTCTATCACTTGGTCCAGCTTGTGGATCCCTTCCTTGTCCTGGCTGACGGGTCTTATCTCTTATTTGAAGTTATTTTCTTTTTCTTTTTCTTTTTTTTTTTTTTGAGACGGAATCTCGCTCTGTCGCCAAGGCTGGAGTGCAGTGGCGCAATCTCAGCTCACTGCAAGCTCCGCCTCCCGGGTCCACGCCATTCTCCTGCTTCAGCCTCCCGAGTAGCTGGGACTACAGGCGCCCGCCACCACGCCCGGCTAATTTTTTTGTATTTTTAGTAGAGACGGGGTTTCACCTTTTTAGCCAGGATGGTCTCGATCTCCCGACCTCGTGATCCACCCGCCTCAGCCTCCCAAAGTGCTGGGATTACAGGCCTAAGCCACTGCGCCCGGCCTCTTATTTGAAGTTATTTTCTGTCTCCCCTTGCTGCCTGCCAGATTTTGGTGAAACTTCATTACTCAGTGAATAATTCCTTTCTGAACAGCTTCACACTGCTGAAAGATGAATCATGCTACCTCTGTGTTGCTGAACTATATTTTATTAACGCTATGTTTCTCTTTCTTTCTGTCTCTCTGAGACACAGTCTTGCTCTGTTGCATAGTCTGGAGTGCAGTGGCACGATCTTAGCTCACTGCAGCCTCCACCTCCTGGGTTCAAGAGATCCTCCCACCTTACCCTCACAAGTAGTTGGAACCACAGCTGCCCACCACCAAGCCTGGCTAATTTTTTTTTTTTTTTTTTTTTTTTTTTGTAGAGATGGTGGTCGCTTTATGTTGCCCAGGCCCTTCTTCCTTTTTCTTTTTGAGAGATGGGGTCGGGTGGGGGGAGGGGGGAGGGATAGCATTAGGAGATATACCCATTAACCATGAGTTAATGGGTGCAGCACACCCGCATGGCACATGTATACATATGTAACTAACCTGCACATTGTGCACATGGTACCCTAAAACTTTAAGTATAATAATAATAAAATAAAATTTAAAAAAAAAGAGAGAGAGATGGGGTCTTGCCATATTGCCCAGGCTGGATTTGAACACCTGTGCTCAAGGGATCCTCCTACCTCAGTCTCCTGAGTAGCAGGGATTATAGGCACATGCCACAGTGCCCAGCTTTCATATCTTTCTTTTTCTCTCTCTCTTTCTTTTTTTCTTTTTCTTTTTTTTTTTTTTTGAGATAGAGTCTCACTCTGTTGCCCAGGCTGGTGTGCACTGGCGTGATCTCGGCTCACTGCAACTTCTGCCTCCTGGGTTCAAGCGATTCTCCTGTCTCAGTCTCTCAAGCAGCTGGGACTGTAGGCATGTGCCACCTCACCTGGCTAATTTTTTTGTATTTTTAGTAGAGATGGGGTTTTGCCATGTTGGCCAGGCTGGTCTCGAACTCCTGGCCTCAAGTGATCCGCCCTCCTTGGCCTCCCAAAGTGCTGGGATTACAGGCATGAGCCATCGTACCCGGCCTCATATCTTTCTTTAAGCAGACTTTAAAAAATCAAAACTGATTTGTTCTCTGACCCTTACGTGGGTTTGCATTGCATTTCTTGAGGAAAGGATGGTCATTCTTCTCCACACTCAGAATTTATTTTGGTCCCATGAAGCCCAATGCTCCAATGCAGCTGTTAACAAGCTGCCCCAAATGTTTGCAAAATGGGAGGGATACAAATTGATGAGGTTATCACTCATTCATTTAGTTATTAATTCATGCAACAAATATTTATTGAGTGCCTACTCTGGGTCAGGCAGCCTCGGCCTAAGTCGCTGAACAAGACAAAGATCTCTCATTACAGAGCTTGTTCTCTGGTATGTGTGCATGTGGGGTGTGGAGGACAGACAAAAATAAATATGCAAATTATTTAGTATGTTAGAAGGTGATAAATGCCACAGGGGTAGGGGAAGGCAGGCCAAGGGAGGATAGGAGTGGATGACAGGGGGCACGTTGCAGTTTAAAATAGCATTGCCAGGGTAGTCCCTGTTGAGGGTGTGAAATGTGCGCTAAGACTTCAAAGAGCAGAGGATATCCTTATGCTGTATCCTGTGTGTGTGTGTGTGTGTGTGTGTGTGTGTGTGTGTGTTTTGCATGAAAATACCACTAAAGATGGATTTTTTTTTTTTTTTTGAGACAGAGTCTAGCTCTGTCATCCAGGGTGGACTGCAGTGGCACAATCTCGGCTCACTGCAACCTCCGCCTCAGCCTCCCAAGTAGCTGAGACTACAGGTGTGCACCACCACACCGGAATAGTTTTTGTATTTTTAGTAGAAACGGGGTTTCACCATGTTGGCCACGCTGGTCTCGAACTCCTGCTGCCGAGTGATCTGCTTGCCTCAGCCTCCCAAAGTGCTGGGATTACAGGCGTGAGCCACCGTGCCCAGATGGAAATATTTTTAGCAGCTATTTTGAGATATAATTCACATGCCAGCCAGGTGTGGTGGCTCATGCCTGTTAATCCCAGCACTTTGAGAGACTCAGGCGGGAGAATTGCCTGGGCTCAGGAGTTTGATTCCAATGTGGGCAATGTAGCAAAACCCTGTCTTTACAAATAAAAATTAAAAATTAAAAATTTAGCTTGGTGTAGTGGTGTGTACCTGTAGTCCCAGCTACTCATGAGGCTGAGGCTGGAAGATCACTTGAGCCCAGGAGGTGGAGGCTGCAGTGAGCCGTGATGGCGCCACTGCACTCTCCTGACAGTGAGACCCTGTTTCTAAAAGAAAAAAAGATTCATATGCCACAACATTTACCCTTTAAAAGTGTACAATTTAGTGGTTTTTAGTATATTTACAGAGTTGTGCAACCATCACCATTATCTAATTCCAGACTATTTTCATCACCCTCCAAAGAAACCCATTAGCAGTCACTACCCATTCCTGCCTCCCCCTATCCCCTGGCAACCACTTTCTGTCCTATAGATTTGCCTATTTTGGGCATTTCATATAAATGGAATCATAGAATATGTGGGCTTTTGGGTCTGGCTTCTTTCACTTAGCATAATGTTTTCAAGGTTCATCCATGCTGTAGCATGTATTCATATTTCATTTCCTTTTTTTTTTTTTTTTGAGATGGAGTCTCACTCTGTCGCCCAGGCTAGAGTGCAGTGGTGCGATCTCAGCTCACTGCAACCTCTGCCTCCCGGGTTCAAGGGATTCTCCTGTCTCAGCCTCCTGAGTAGCTGGGATTACAGGCACATGCCACCATGCCCAGCTAAATTTTGTAATTTTAGTAGAGATGGGTTTTCGCCATGTTGGCCAGGCTGGTCTCAAACTCCTGACCTCAGGTGATCCACCAGCCTTGGCCTCCCAACGTGCTGGGATTACGGGCGTGAGCCACCATGCCCAGCCAAGTATTTCATTTCATTTCTTTTCTTTTCTTTTTTGAGAGAAGTCTCGCTCTTGTCCCCCAGGTTTGAGTGCAATGGCTTGATCTCGGCACGCTGCAAACTCTGCCTCCCGGGTTCAAACGATTCTCCTGCCTCTGCCTCCCGAGTAGCTGGGATTAAGGCACCTGCCACCACACCCGGCTAATTTTTGTATTTTTTAGTAGAGATGGGGTTTCACCATGTTGGCTAGGCTGGTCTCGAACTCCTGACCTCGTGATCCACCCGCCTCGGCCTCCCAAAGTGCTGGGATTACAGGCGTGAGCCACTGCGCCCAGCCAGTATTTCATTTCTTGATGGATAATATCTCATTGCAGGGATAGACCACATTTGGTTATCCATTTATCAGTTGGTGGTGTGTGCCTTTGAATTTTAAATATCGCAAAGTGTCATCCATGAGCTATAGAGATTTGCCCTCCCCCTTAATTAAGAACTGGATGGAGGCTGGGTGTGGCACCTGTAGTCCCAGCTACTCAGGAGGCTAAGCTGGGAGGATACTTGGGCACAGAAGTTCGATACTTGGGCACAGTGAGCTGTGATCACACCACCGCACGCCAGCCTGTGCGACAGAGGGAGACGCTATATCTAAATGAAAAAAATAAGACCTTGTAGGGGTCATTGTCAGGACCAATGGTGCCCAGTTGCAGGCAGCACTGGTTAGGCCCGGTTTTGGAGAAACTAAAAAGCCACTCCCTCCAGAGTCCTGCTTTCCCAGGTGCCTCCCTCCTGAGCGGAAGCTCTGGGTGGTCCAAATGTGGTAATAGAGATCTGTGGATTTTTTTCAAGTGTGTTTTCTGTTGCACGTTAAATTTTTTTTTTCAGCTTTAAAATGTAACCTTGGTAAGTTGTTTACTCAAGAAAATTCTTAATGAGTTTTCTTTCTTTCTTTTTGTCTTTTTAACATTTTGGGTGTGGTAGCAAGTAGAAGCAGATTCATCCTAACCAAATATTTGCAAATATCTGAACAAAGCTATTCTGGCCAGGGAAGGAAGACTCCACGGAGGAAGTGGGAATTGGATCTGGCTTTTGAAGGAGGGGTTCAATTCTCAGAGGACTAGATGAGGAAGGAAAAGGCATGTTCCAAAAAGGGGCAGGGAATTAAAAGTTTATTTTCTGGGTGACTGGGAACCTCTGAGCCCTTGAGCACGTGCCTTAGATATGTTAGTTTGGCAGCCAGCAGTCTGTGCATAGAGGGTGATAATGGTGTTGGACTCCTCTGGCCTGCACGTGGCGAGACTCAAAGTTTCCAGACTTCTTTTGGGGGCGGTGTCTGAATTACAGTCTCCGGGGCTGCAGAAAGATGAACTCCATCAGAAGATCCTCAAGGTCTTCCCCACTCCTTCAGTGCAGACTTCATACAGAGAAACTGTCTAGGCGACACCTGTGCAAGAACTGGACACGACCCAAGCTGCAAACTGCCCCTGACCATCCCGGCCTTCCCCGTTCGATCCTGGAGGTGGGGGTGGGAATGGAGCGCCCAGAGCGGGCGATCAAGCTTCCTGGGAACTGTGAATTGGGGCGGGGGAAGCAGGAAGGACGAGGCCTTTCCAGACCAAATGGCCCTAACTCCTGCACCGGACCAGGACGCGTGGCGCCTCCAGAGAGGACGCCCATCGCCCGGAGCAGGTTGCGGTCCCGGTTCCCGCCGAACTCTAGCAACCGCGAGGAGAAATGTCTGCCGTAGGGGGCGGAGCGCAGCGGGGGCGGAGCGCGGACGAAGGGGCGGAGCGAGGACGAAGGGGCGGAGTAGAAACGACGGGCGGGGGGCGGAGCGAGAATAATGGGGTGGAGCAAGACGGCGGGCGGGGGCGGAGCGAGGACGACGGGGCGGAGCGCAGACCGCGGGCGGGGGGCGGAGCTGGGATGATGGGGAGGAGCGAGGATAAAGGGGCGGAGCACAGATAGAAACAGGGGCGGGGAGGGGAGGGGCGTTCTCGGCCTTTGGGACCCGCCTCTCGCCGCAGGCGCGCCTGCCCCGCCTTCTCACTCCCCACGGCGGCGGCTGCGGAGGCCGAGGGCGGGGAGGGAGGGGAGAGCGGGTCACGACGCTGCCGGGGCGGGGATAACCCCTCACGTGGAGCAGATGAAAGGGCCGCGGCGCGACGGCCGGGGGAGCCGAGCTGAGCCTGCGACCCACAAAGCCGCCGCCGCCGCCGCCGTGATGGGGCTGTGAGGCGTCCGCCCGCGTTCGGTCCTCAGCCGGCCCGCGACTATGCCCGGCCGCGCCCGCCCTCCGCGCCCTCCCGCCGCAGGACCATGAGGCCGCGCTCGGGCGGGCGCCCAGGGGCCACGGGCCGCCGCCGCCGCCGCCTGCGCCGCCGCCCCCGCGGCCTCCGGTGCAGCCGCCTGCCGCCGCCGCCGCCGCTGCCGCTGCTGCTCGGGCTGCTGCTGGCGGCCGCGGGGCCCGGCGCGGCGCGGGCCAAGGAGACGGCGTTCGTGGAGGTGGTGCTGTTCGAGTCGAGCCCAAGCGGCGATTACACCACCTACACCACCGGCCTCACGGGCCGCTTCTCGCGGGCCGGGGCCACGCTCAGCGCCGAGGGCGAGATCGTGCAGGTAGCTGCCCGCCGCCCGGGCCCCGCGCCGCCTCCGCCACAAGATGGCTCCGGGGGCTGCGCCCGCCGACCCCGCCGCGGGCTGCCTGACTGGCGGGCGGGCGGGAGGGGTGGCCGAGAGGCCGGCGGCATCCCTCCCCTGCGGGCGGGCAGGCGGGCGGGACGCGGCCTCCGGGGCGCATCCGCGGGGGGCGAGCGCACGTGGGGGCTAGAGCTCCTGTGAACCCCGGGGCGGGAGGGGCATCCTGGGCCCGGCACCCATGCTGGGGCAGCCCCCTTGGCCGGTTGGGTATTTAGGTCTGCCTCAGGTGGAAGTCCCGGGAACTACCTGTTGAATGCCAACTTTGAAAAGACAAGTGATGAGGGATGGGGTGGCTCGTTTCAGGTTGCAGGCTTTGCTTTTCCATCCATGCATGTTCTTTTTGGGTGCGGCCAGGTTTGTCTGAAGGGCTGCACAACGTCGGGTTCTTCCCCGGAACCTGCCGTCCGCCTCACCTGGGCGCCGGTGACCCTTCTGCGGGGCTCTGGACAAGCAGCAGCAGGCAGGGGAGGAGGCGGAGCTGGTCGAGGAGTGGGGATCGGGGGTTCCCTGGAGTGGCGATGGAAGGCAGCCCTCGCTGCATGCTTCACATTACAGAGGGTGGGAGGGATACCGCCTGCCCGTCCCTCGGCCAAAGACTGATGCGAAGGACCTGCAAATGGGGAGATGGCGTATCTCACTGACAGGACCTCCACCTTGGACCAAATGAAAGAGATCTACATTCCAAAGGAAACTGGCTAGGGAGACCTTTAAGCCGTGCCTACTCTTTGGAGGAGGGACTCTCAACTGAAGCTTCTGCGGATGGTTAGCTGGGTGGATGTCTTCCCGCTTCCTTGGCCGTGATTTTATCAACTTGTTACTAGACAGCCAGCGCACTAATAATGGCAGTTAATATGCGCGCCTCGGATGGGGGCGATTCGTAAAGGTTGGCTTGTCTTTGAATCTTTGGGGTGATCGGATGTCTGCAGGGCCTAAGCTTTGTGGGCCTTCTGTGCTTTACTCTTGGGTGAGTTATGAATGAAAAGAAGGGGACTCCATGGAATGATTGCATAGCAGCCCGCAGCGTAGACAGCCTGTTCCGTGGTGTCCTTTTCCTTCCTTGGGTGCAGACTCAAAGCCCTGCCTTCATAGGACAGGGAGAGCTGTGCAGCTTGACTCCGTAGAGGTGTGCCCTTACAAAGCTGGAGGAGGTACCCAGGCCCATGCGATTAATCAGCAGCATTGCCTTACCGGGCTCTTATCCCCATCCGAAAACTTCTGTAGGGTAAATAGAAGAGGAAACTCCTTCATTGAGCCCTTTGACTATCTATGTTAATGCTTTTGGACTTAAAAAAAGTTGTAATTATGATCTTTATAAGTTTTAGAGATGATGCTTTGCTGAAGATTCCTAAACATTTAAGTCTTGCTCCTTGGCAACTTCTTGTCTTTCTTTGAGGCTTTCATTGTGTCCTGATGGTTTTAGAAATGTTTGATTTACAGCCTTCTAAAAAAAAAAAAAAAAAAAAAAAAGACGCTCTAGCGTGGCACTTGACTTTTTGAAGGAGACTTTTGAAGTTTGCAGTTTTTATCTGCAATGTTTTAACGTGTCACTCTTTCTCAACAGTAGTTTGTCTGGTGAGCGAGCTATCCATTATGAGGAGTGTTATGCTTTGGAGATAATCTTGGGTTCACCATTTAATACAAAATTAGCAGTTTAAACACCATTTGTAACTATTTTATCCTTGTGAGTAGAGAGATAATATGTGAATTTGGCAGAAGGAATCTATTCTCTTCTGAAACTTTTTGAAGTGCTTATCTAACTCTTTTGTAGTCCATTAGCCTAGCCAAAAAAAAAAAAAAGTCAATAGTTGCTAAGTAAAGTGACTTAAATGGTATTTAATAAGTTTACTTGTTAAGCAATCACTAATAGGTGTCCTTAATTCCCTTATAGCTGCAGTAATGTTGGTGAGTTTATCTGAGCTGTCTGAATAGTCATTTCATGGTGCACCTCGTATCTTTAGTAACTTTATTGTGGTAGCTGACTTGTTGAACCTCCCTGTTTCTGCGGACAGAGTGCAGTGTGGCTTTCAGGGATGTGTGTGTACAAAGGCTAGCATGCTTTTATGAGTTCTGCAAATACTGTTTGATTGAAGGAATTGGTGTGGACCTTGTCTGGCAGCCCTGAAAAAGTTTTTTGTAAGGAAGGCTGATGATGTTTTAGGGCCGCTGAGAGGGAATATAACATTTTCTTTTGGTGAGAAATGAGAAAGCAGAAGGAATAAATTGCTGTCCAGCTTTGGATTAATCATGTTTTCTAAGTAACCTGAACTTTTCAAAACCTCCTTTTATTTACTGTCTTTAAATAAACCTCCTTTTGTTTACTATCTTGAAAAACCTTTATAAGCTTTAGAGATGATGCTATGCTGAAGATTCCCAAACATTTTATCCACAGTCTTCAAGAATAGTTTGAATCTTAACTCTTGCTCATTGTAACTTCTTGTCTTTCTTTGAGGCTTTCACTGTGCCCTGGTGACACAGTCTCATTGAACTTTTCAAAACTTCCTTTTATTTACTATCTTAAAAGAAAATAGTAGCCAGGCATGGTGACTGACGCCTGTAGTCTCAGCATTTTGGGAGGCTGAGGCAGGAGGATTGCTTGAGCCTAGGAGTTCGAGACCAGCCTGGGCAACACAGTTAGACCTGGTCTCTACAAAAAAAAAAAGTAGCCCAGTATGGTGGTGTGCACCTGTAGTCCCAGCTATTTGGGAGGCTGAGGTGGGAGGATTGCTTGAGCCTGGGAGGCTGAGGTTGCAGTGAGCCATGATTACACCACTGTACTCCAGCCTGGACAACAGAGCGAGACACTCTCTCAAAAACAAACAAACAAACAAAAACTGTGATTTGCTGCTTAGTGTTTTATCGTCTCAGAGCAGAGTTCATTTTCCTATAACTAAAGCTAAATAGTAGCACTATAGCATTGCTTTTGTTATTTCCACTGGGGTTCTGTAGCAGTTTTATTTATTCATGGTTTAGGGGAGAAAAAACCTGTTTAGGAGTGTCACCTTTAAGAATTCTAAGATAAGGAATTCGTTTGTATTACTGATTTTTAACCCCCCTCCTTATTATATGCCAACGAAGAGAGAGAGAGAGAGTGTGTGTGTGTGTGTGTGTGTGTGTGTGTGTGTGTATACATATATTTGTATAGTAGATACCTTATCATAGTCTGGTTTGCCTAGATAATTCTAACTAGAGTACCTGTTCAGTCATTTCCATGGGTTAGGGTAGGGGAAGCCTAGTTAAGAATTGTGTCAGTTTGTCAGTGTCAGAGAGAGAGAGAGAGTGCAAGAGGGAGGGAGGTAGTAATTCAAACCTTAGGATTCGTCATCAGGAATCTTGGTTCTTCTCCTTTGCGTTTTAGGCTTAAATAACTATCCCAAGGTCACCAATGTAATCTGAATGAAGAATTTTTTTTTTAATGTCTCCATCTGTGAAAGTTGTGGTGAAAACAATTTGTGGGTATGAAATGCTATTAGTTACTTTTATTATCTTATGTATTTATGCAGTATTAAAGCCTGTTTGCTTGTAAGAGTGTCAGGCATACAGTTTGAATGCTGGAGAAATTAATTACACTTCTCCTGTAGTTCTGAAGTGTGGGACTTTAAAGGGTTCTTAGATATATTGATACATATTTCATCTTTGAACCAATTTGTTGCTGTTAATGAGATCATTATCTGAAACTTTCAGACTTGGCTGTGCAACTCACATGGTTGGTGATGTTAAATAAAGGCCCGATTAAACACCGGCTAGTGGTATGTGGATTGGTTAAACAAAGAAAATTTGCATTGCTAGAGATGAAAGATTGTTTTAAAGTCGAAATGCATTTTTTTTTTGCTTGAAGTCAAATATTTAGAAAAGCTTGAGAAATTCATTTGTAGAAGGAATCTGAATGACAGGTTCTGTGTAACTTTAAATTCAGCCTTTCTGGGTCCTAGGTTAAATGCTGAATGGACTTGAAAACAGAGAGAAGCTGAGGACATTTAAGAACTAAGTCAGTTCCTTTAGCTATTAGGGGTGGGTAGAGAGCTGGGTGGTGGGTTAAAAGGGCTGATCAAGGTCCTTAAATATCCGATGTTAAGTAAAGGTATCACAGAGAGTAATTTTAGGAAACTAATTCCTCTGCTTTGTTTCCCTGTCAGTGTGCTTCTGCAGTTTAGCATTTGATCAAACACTTTCTTTTCATCTCCATTTTAAGTTAACTTAACAGGCCTGCCTCTAAAAATTGACTTGGTCTAATAGAACAATTGTGTGCTGACAGCTGACCTGGATTTAGACAGAAAGGGATTGCCTACTGTCTTCTCAGATGGGCCTTCATAGGTTAAAACCAAGCATTTGATTCAGGGGGAAAACTGGGGCTGTATTTTGTGATGTTATACATTCTTAGAGCCCCTTATTTTCTGTTTTGTTCCCTGAGATCTCATGGGAGTTACTAGTACAATTCTGAATAGGAATGAAATTGGAGTTCAGTGTAGAGCTGTAGATTAAAGGGAAAGTAGTGATGGTTTCCTCTTATTTATACAGAGCACTGCCAAGCATGTCATGTTTTGGTTCTTCTCATCCTGACACTAACATGCAATTAGCAACTATTGTTAATCCATTTTACAGAGGAGAAAAACTGAGGCTGAGAGAAGCAAGTTGAGTTCTCTAACTTCACATGGCTAGCAGATGACAAACCTGGATTGAAACCCAGGTCTGGCCGGGCGCGGTGGCTCACGCCTGTAATCCCAGCACTTTGGGAGGTCGAGGCGGGTGGATCACAAGGTCAGGAGTTCGAGACCAGCCTGGCCAATATGGTGAAACCATACAAAAAAAATACAAAAAAAATTAGCCAGGTGTGGTGGCACATGCCTGTAATCCCAGCTACTCAGGAGGCTGAGGCAGGAGAATTGCTTGAATCCGGGAGGCGGAGGTTGCAGTGAGCTGAGATCACACCACTGCACTCCGGCTTGGGTGACAGAGCGAGACCCCGTCTCAAAAAAAAAAGAAACCCAGGTCTGCCTGGGTTGCTTGTTCTTGTTTTTGCCAAGTGAACAGAACTTGGCTGGTTAGGATTTTGACATTAATTCAAGTCTAATTTTGAACAACATATAATATAGGGGTTCTTAACCTGAGGGTCACAGACTTTCAGAGATAGTCCATGAACTCCTGCAAGTGTATGCGTATTCTTGTCTATGGGCAGTTACAACTTTGCCTCTTCCAGGGTTCTGTGATGTGTCCCCTCTATACCCACAAGGAAAAGGGGAAACTCTAATCTAGTAGAGCATTGAATAATCCATTACCAAGAGTTTGAGTGGGGTTCAGGCTGACAAGAGTTGTACGGAAGTCTACAGGTCTGGGTGCCTCCATTGAACATATTTATTTTGTAGACATCTATCACAGCCCTATTCTGTACCAGACACTGTATTGCTGTTGTCTTCTGGAGTTCAGTCTCCTATGGAGACAGACACATGCATGGATAAATGATAATTCTTACCAAATGGGTTTCTCCACCGAACTGAGCCCTTAGGCCCTGAGGCATCCATTGTCTATAATGAATTAACTTCCCTCCTGTGCACTGCGCAGCATCCTTGGGAGAAGAGAGAATATAGTCACTCAAAGACTTTTCTGCATTTACATGGCAAAGTGTAAGAACTTGACACTCTGAATGCAGGATGTGGGAAAGCAGAGTATAGTTCCGTTTCATAGTTCATTGAAAAATGAAACGGAGCACCTGTCGCTGTTGAAATGCCTGAAGAGTAGCTTCTCACACCTTCCCTTGTGGACCTGGACCCCATGGGGTCTGTTTTTGCTCATTTCTGGATCGACCCCCTGGGTTCCCACTGCCTGCTATGCATGAGGCACTCAGTATTGAATGAATAAATGATGGAGAGTGGACATCAGGCAGGCAGTGGGTTTTATGGATTATTTATGCTTTAATTGATGAGAACAACTTGCTTTGGCTTGGCTAATAAATTCTGGGATTATCCTTCCTTTTTGATTGTTATTTCCAGAAACTTGCTTGGATGGAAAGGATAGCTCTCTCTCTGGTTCCCATAGACCCACTGGTATTACAATACTGGGTTGTATGAAAGTGATCTGGCCCGGTGTGGTGGCTCACGCCTGTAATCCCAACACTTTGGGAAGCCGAGGCGGGCAGATCACAAGGTCAGGAGATCGAGACAATCCTGGCTGACACGGTGAAACCCTGTCTCTACCAAAAATATAAAAAATTAGCCGGGCGTGGTGGCGGGGGCCTGTAGTCCCAGCTACTGGGGAGACTGAGGCAGGAGAATGGCGTGAACCCAGGAGGTGGAGGTTACAGTAAGCCGAGATCACGCCACTGCACTCCAGCCTGAGCGACAGAGCAAGACTCCGTCTCAAAATAAAAAAAATAAAAAGAAATCTGTGTGGGGTGTTTATATTCCAAGGCAGGGTACCTGGCATAAGAAAAGTCTGAAGGTGTTCTTTTCCTGATGAAACTGAGTATTGACAAAGCCTTAAAGTGGATAGGTTATGGAAGGAAAGAATCTTGAATTTCCAGTGTCCCTGGGAGTAACAATAAGGGATTGGCATTCAGTATCATCGTTAACCTAAATATATGCCATGTGAAAAACTTTGCTGCTTGCTTGCTTTCTCTCTCTCTCTCTTTTTTTTTTTGTCAGGGTCTCACCATGTTGCCCAGGCTAGAGCACAGTGGTAAGATCATGGCTCAGTGTACTCTTGGACTCCTGGGCTCAGGCAGTTCTCAGGCCTCAGCTTCCCCAGTTGCTAGAATTACAGGTGTATGCCACCATACCGAGCTAATTTTTTATTTTTTGTAGGTATAGGGTCTCGTTATGTTGCCTAGGCCGGTCTTGCACTCCTGGCCTCAAGTGATCCTCCTGCCTTGGCCTCCCAGTGCTCTGGGATTACAGGTGAGAGCCACCATATCTGGTCAGAACTTTGCTTCTTGATGGTATTTTCCCAAGTCTGGAGAGTTTGGATTTCTAATTTGTGACATTTAAGTAAATCTTCATAATCAAAAGAACCAGATTCAGTCCTTTAATGTGTTAGAAAGGAGACTGAAATCCAGAGAAATGCTTTGCTGAAGTCCACATAAGGTAGAGATGACCCAGGATTAATATTTGGGTCCCCTGACTCCCAGGCTTGGAGCCCTTCTGTTACCCCCGGCTGTAGCCTGGCTGAGTGTGACAGGGGACACCAGATGCAGGGCATGCTTTATGATCAGATGTATAATTGAGGAAAGCCAGGCATTCTTAAATTGTATATTGGGTTTAAGTGGTTGCTTTTCTTCTCTAATTAATTTAGATTTTGAGTCTCTCAGTCTTCCTCCCTGTCAGAGCTTTTAAAAATAGCTACTAATGATCAAGTGCTTATTGTGTGCCAGGCACTGGGCACAGTGCTTTGCTCACATTTAACAGACAAGGTAGATGGCATGTGCCAGAGAGGTAAAGTCACTTGTCAAAGTCACTGAGCAAGTCATTAGTGCAGCTGAGGTTCAAATCCTGGTCTGTCTGATTCTAAGCCATTTCTGTTTTCACAAGCCCGCTTCACTTCACACTTTCTTATGATGAGGTTATGGGAACTGATGTGGAATTTAGAGTTGAGTTTAAACCCAAAACGATTGACCAAGAAATAAGTCTATAACGTCAACTGAGAAAATCCCCTATCCTCACAAAGATGTATTTCCTTCCTTTCTTTTCCTCTTCTTTTTTTAAATCACAAAAGTCTCATTCTAACTTAGTTTTTTCCATAAAGAGCCAATCTACCAGGTTCACAAAGAGGGACCAGTGACTTGACATATATAACTGTCACTCGATGGCACTTCTGTTGTTTTCAGCTATTGGGCAAGCTGGAATGGCTGTAGTTTTCTGGCATTTAAAGGGATTTCTGGTGTGAGACACACCTCCTTCCTGTGGCTGACTTTTATAGCAATTTGGGAGTCTGCATGTCTTTCTCCAAAGAGGTCACGTCCCATGTTTGTGACCTTTCTTACTTTGCACAGGCTCATTGAATCCTCTTGGTTGTTAAAACTTACCACGAGTGCTACATGCCTCAGTGGGCAAACATTCAGTGGTGCCCCCCGTCCATCAGATCCTTTGTGGGGCAAGGCAATGAACACAAGAGTAAGACTTGGTCCCTGCCTGCAGGCAGCTGAGTGTAGGTGTCCAGACAGCACACGAACGGTTACCTTACAGTACAGTGGGGCATGTCCTATCTGGTAGGAAACAGCCTATAGGATACTGAAGAACACCTGGGGGAGGGAATCGGGCCCTGGTGCTAAGTTTAGACCTGTCTGTCACTGTATGAGCATTCTGGCCTTTTCCAACTCATTTTTACCTACCTTTGAGGTTAAAGCTGATAACCTCTTTGAAGAGAGGTGCCTTTATACCTTTCTAACGGAATAGGAAGGAGGTAGAGAGTAGAGGTTCTTTGTTCTATTTGTAGCTTGAATGAGATGTTTTAAAATCTGACTTTCAGTGGCTCTGTTTACTCATGATAGTGTCAAAAGAATAAGGTCAGCTGGCCCATTGTGGTTCAAAGGAGAGCACTTTATTTTTATTGCCCTTAAGATGTGTTGTAAGACTTGATATTAATTTCCTCCTCTCCCCAGCAGCCAGTGTAATATAGTTGTTTAGAAACTCAGTATAGAGTTTGATTCTGTGAAAACGAAGTTTGATCCTAGAATTTTGATGGGAAAACGTATGTTAGAATGGGGACTTCTGGCCTCCTGGTGCAGAAGTGCCTGCATTTAAAAAATAAAAGAGCCGGCGCGGTGGCTCATGCCTGTAATCCCAGCACTTTGGGAGGCTGAGGCGGGCAGATCACGAGGTCAGGAGATCGAGACCACCCTGACTAACACAGTGAAACCCCGTCTCTACTAAAGATACAAAAAATTAGCCAGGCGTGGTGGCGGGCGCCTGTAGTCCCAGCTACTCGGGAGGCTGAGGCAGGAGAATGGTGTGAACCCGGCAGGTGGAGCTTGCAGTGAGCCGAGATCACACCACTGCACTCCAGCCTGAGCGACTGAGCGAGACTCTGTCTCAAAAAAAATAAAAAAATAAAAAATAAAATTAAGAGTGGGGTAGTACTCAATTAGGTGTGTGTAAGTTCCCATCCAGCACTGTAAGAATTTTATTATAACTTAATTTTCTACTTGAGTTAATTTGGCTTTGCTATCTTGTCAGCAAACATTTATTGAATGTTTACTGTAGATACCGTATAGAGAAGAAACATCGGTTTTATGCACCCGTGGTATAATTTGTGCTTTTCAAATGTTATTTTTCTGATTTATTCGAGAGTTTGAGGCTGCAGTGAGCCTTGCAGCTACCAGTGTGAGCCACCGTGCCAGCATTGGTAATTTTCTTTCTTTCTTTTTCTTTTTTTTTTTTTTCGAGACAAGTTCTGGCTCTATCGCCCAGGCTGGAGTGCAGTGGCGTGATCTTGGCTCCCTGCAACCTCTGCCTCCTGGGCTCAAGCCATCCTCCCACCTCAGTCTCCCGAGTAGCTGGGACTACAGGTGCACATCACCACATCCAGCTAATGTTTGTATTTTCTGTAGAGATGGGGTTTCCCCATGTTGCTCAGGCTGGTCTTGAACTTGGGAGCTCAAGCAATTCACCCGCCTTGGCCTCCCAAAGTGCTGGGATTATAGGCGTGAGCCACTGTGCCCGGCCTGCCTTGGTTATTTTCATAAGATTTCTAGAATTAGGTTCACTGAGTTAAGTGATATAAACATTTTTGAGGCTTTTGCTACATATTTTTAGATTGCTCTACAGGAGTGGTCTAGTTTATACACCCCTACCAGGTCGCCATGTATGTTTCTACACAATAGCCCTGCTCGCAACAGATAGTATATTTTGCTCTGTTGCCCAGGCTGGAGTGCAGTGGCGCAATCTTTCTTGGCTCACTGCAGCTTGAAATCTCAGGCTCACAAGTGATCCTTCCGCCTCAGCCTCCCAAGTAACTGGGACTACAGGCATGCACCACCATGCCTGGCTAATTTTTTTTTTTTTTTGTAGAGATGGGTTTTTGCCATATTGCCAAGGTTGGTCTCAAACTCCAGGGCTCAAGTGATCCACCCACCTTGGTCTCCCAAAGTGCTGAGACTATAGGCGTGAGCCACTGTGACCCACTGTATGTTTCTCAAAAATACAAAATGTCGTAAAAGTGAAAGTCTATATATTCCTATCATTTAGTAAATAGTAAAATACTGGCTTTTTTTTTTTTTTTGTCTGCCATAAGGATCTGAATTATGACTAATGTCTGCACTGAAGGGAAGGTACCTGGCGTGGCATCTGGGTGCCTCCCTTGTAGGTGTATCAGAGCATGATTCAGGAGCAGCAGGTTGCCCTTGTATTCTGGGCAGGAACACGGCGTCTGTCCAGGCAGATGGCCATGCTCAGAGGCCTCACGGTGGGGACCGCTGTGCTGTCGTCACACCCTGTGGCAGCAGATTGTTGCCCAGGAGGGTGCTGCTTCAGTTGCTGGTTTCTGCCCTTCCTCTTTCCTGTCGAGCAGGCTTTCTGCTTCTGAACAGGCTGGATTCAGAAAGGCCGAATGAATCTGTCCTTGAATTCATAGTGACACTGTCAGTTGGTGGTGGGCAGAGATGCAAGTTGAGCCCAAGCACCAGACTCTCAGGGGTGCATTTAAGCAGCAAGCATATAGGCTGAAAACAGCTTCCAGGTATTTTGTTCGATCGCTGTTAAAAATCTAGAAAGTGTACATAAAAATGGGCTCTTCTAAAAAAAAAATTAAAAGATCTGGCATCAGTGGGTCCACAGTCCCATGAGGCAATAGCCTGCCATAGTGGAGTGGCAGCTGCCCCCCTTCAGCAGGTACACAGGCCCTCCAGTCACAAGTCCTTATCGCATTGCCCAGCTTACTTCCCTCACTGACAGTTCCATTTACAGATGCCTGGCCCTGTAGACACTGTAGCTGGCCATCCTTTCTGTCTCTGGAAGTTCCAAAGTTGAAAGCTTTTAACTTGTGCTTGGCAAGTCTCTTTTCTCTCCTTCCCCAACCAACCTGAGTGTGAGATGTCCATCAGTGGACCCCATGAGTCTCAAGTTATGCTACTGAGGAAGGCCCAGCTACCCTTGATGTGACCAGAGGGCTCTTTTTGCTTTGGTGTAGGTGTTGAAGGCTGAAGTCTGGAGCCATTGGCCTGTGCCTTCAGGATCTTTGCTCCTTCTCTCTTTTTGGCTCCATGGTTTCTCAACTCTGAGACTTAATTGTTTGTGCTGAAGGGCACCTTGAAAATGCTGTGACTCCGGCCGGGCACGGTGGCTCACGCCTGTAATCCCAGCACTTTGGGAGGCTGAGGCGGGTGGATCACGAGGTCAGGAGATCGAGACCACGATGAAACCCCGTCTCTACTAAAAATACAAAAAATTAGCCAGGCGCAGTGGCGGGTGCCTGTAGTCCCAGCTACTCGGGAGGCTGAGGCAGGAGAATGGCATGAACCTGGGTGGCGGAGCTTACAGTGAGCCGAGATTGCGCCACTGCACTCCAGCCTGGGCGACAGAGCGAGACTCCGTCTCAAAAAAAAAGAAAATGCTGTGACTTAGCTCTCCTTTTGCAGTGAGGGAACTGTGGGCAAGGGCATCTAGCCTTTGGTCTTAAGAGCTGGGATTAGAACTCAGAACTTGGGGTTCTCGGGGGAGGGGTGGTCTTTCTAGAATGGCATTCTGCTGCGATGGTTGAATTCCAGAAAATCTTCCATGTGCCTGTTGCTTTAGGGTTCCTGGTGTACTTTCACTTACAGTATCTTAGTTCATCCTCTCATTTGGGAGTGCCTTTTCTGGATTCTGCCCCAGAAGGCTGTCTGCTGTTCAGGTGGTCTGAGGCGGAGTCTTGCTCTGTCGGCCAGGCTGGAGTGCAGTGGAGTGATCTTGGCTCACTGCAACCTCCCCATCCTGGGTTCAAGCGATTCTCCTGCTTCAGCCTCCCGAGTAGGTGGGATTACAGGCGTCCACCATCACGCCCGGCTAATTTTTATTTTTATTTATTTTTATTTTTATCTTTTTGAGACGGAGTCTCGCTCTGTCGGCCAGGCTGGAGTGCAGTGGCGCGATCTTGGCTCACTGCAACCTCCGCCTCCCGGGTTCAAGCGATTCTCCTGCCTCAGCCTCCCGAGTAGCTGGGACTACAGGCGTGTGCCACCACGCCTGGCTAATTTTTGTATTTTTAGTAGAGACAGGGTTTCACCATGTTGGCCAGGATGGTCTCGATCTCTTGACCTCGTGATCCGCCCGCCTCGGCCTCCCAAAGTGCTGGGCTTACAGGTGTGAGCCACCACGCCTGGCCCCTATATTTTTAGTAGAGACAGGGTTTCGCCATGTTGGCCAGGCTGGTCTCAAACTCCTGACCTCAAGTGATCTGTCTGCCTCAGCCTCCCAAAGTGTTGGGATTACAGGCGTGAGCCACTGTGCCCGGCCTGAGAATGCTTTTCTTTGTACCTAATTTGTATACTTTTCTTTAAATGCATTTGACATTGTGTGTTTAGCACCTTTATGGGATTTCTGGAATATCGCTGGGTACCTGGAGACTTGGCATCTTTTCAGAAAGTACATCAGTCTTGGAGTAGGTGGTGAGCAGACAGCTAATGGCATGTAAAGAATGTTGCAAGCTTGACTTGCAAAGCTATTTCAAAATTTAAATAAAGGTAGCTTGTGGCTGAGTTGAAGGGAAATGGTGGTATCTTCAAGACAATGCTTGGCTTGCTCTGCCTCTTGCTGACTTCCCTCTTCAGGCCTGATGCTGCCCAAGCTGTTTCCCTGTCTCTCATTCTCTCTCTTTTGGTTTTTCTTTTTCTTTGTTTTTAAAAGAGACCAAGTCTCACTATGTTGCCTAGACTGGACTTGAACTCTTGGGCTCAAGCGATCCTTCCGTCTCAGCCTTCCGAGTAGCTGGGACTATGCAGGCATGTGCCACTGCAGTCGGCTCTCACATTCTCTTTCTTCCCATCAGTTCTTCCCTTCCCTTCAGATTCATCCTTCTAAAGTAGTGTTTGGTCACATCAGTCTCTTGATCAAAATCTTTCGTGGCGTCCTGTTGCTTACTACTGAGCTGTGTGAAGAGGTGACCTAGCTGCCCCAGTCTCTCATTGTTGCCTCCGGGCGTGGGCCTGTGTGTTGCTGTCCTTGTTCCTGAGTGGGTCCTGGGCTTTCCTCTCTCAGTGCTTTTCTTTCTTTTTTAGGGGGATCGGGGAGACAGAATCTCACTCTGTCACCCACCCAGGCTGGAGTACAGTGACGTGATCTCCGTTCACTGCAAACTCTGCCTCACGGGCTTAAGCAGCCCTCCTGCCTTAGCCTCTTGAGTAGCTGGGACCACAGAAATGCGCCACCACGCCCTGCTAATTTTTGTATTTTTAGTAGAGACATGGTTTCACCATGTTGCCCAGGCTAGTCTTGAACTCCTGAGCTCAAGCAATCCACCTGCCTCAACTCCCAAAGTGCTGGGATTACTGGCGTGAGCCACCGCACCTGGCCTGTGCCTTTCCTTTTGGATTGCCTGCTGTAATACGTGTCTTCACCTCCACATTTTCAACTCCCGTCTTTGCTTTCCACTGTCTTTTTCCTGTCCTAGCTCCTCCCATCTGCAGCCAAACTTTCAGTCCTTCCCATGAAGCTTTTTCCTGGGTTCCACCAGTGTGTTCCTTTGAATCAGAGCACTCCATCTCCCTATTGTCTTGGATGTAAAACATGTAAATTATTTACCGAACCGGAATTCTCCTAGATCACACTACTTTGGGATAGCATAGTGAGAGGGATGTGAAAGGGGTGTTAATGTGGCCTGCAGAAAAAAAGGCTTGGCTTTTTTTCTCTTTTTTTAGGTGGGGTCTCACTCTGTCACCCAGGTTGGAGTGCAGTGGCACGATCTCATCTCACTGCAACCTCCGCCTCCTAGTCTCAAACGATCCTCCCACCTGAGCCTCCTGAGTAGCTGGCTGGGACCACAGGCACACACCACCACGCCTGGCTAATTTTTTGTATTTTTCGTAGAGAGGGGGTTTTGCTGTGTTACCCAGGCTGCTCTTGGACTCCTAAGCTCGGGTGATCTATGCACCTCGGCCTCCCAAAGTGCTGGGATTACAGGCGTGAGCCACTGTGCCCAGCCAAGACTTGTTTTTTTGAGGGAGAATTTTCTGTGATTGTCGCAACTATTTGCAAGCAGCTTTCAGACATGGTGTGTCCTGATTATTCCAAATAGTTGGGATAGTCCAGACTCTCAAAATAATTTCACCTTGCCTGTGCTTCCTGGAGGTCTGGAGAAAGGAGACAGTAGGAGGTGACACCCTCTGGCTCCTTCCAGTCTGGCGTGTGCCTGCCCTGGGAACATTGTTCAGAACATGCTGGAGAAGAGAATATCACAGCCTGACTGTAGACTTTTGGGGATGTGTTTTATTTAAATATGTAAAATATAATATTTTGGTGTCACTTAAAACACCGGGACTTTTGGAGGCGTAGTAGAAGTTCTATGTAGCTTCAGAATGACCCATCAGAAACAAATGTATATGAGTCTTTACTTACATTTGTGCCATATTGCTTCCCCCTATATTTTTTTCCCTTTGGAAGCTCTGGCATGGGCCTTGATCCTGTGTTTAAGCGCTGTGTGGGAAGCAGAATTTAAAAGGACTGTAGTAGTATTTCTAAAGAGACTTAACAGGCTACATGTGAGAGAATTTTAGATTTCAATTTAGCAAACGTTTGATTTTCTAGTCTTTATGGGGCTGACTGTAAGCATTTGGGAAATTATTGAATTATTGCTTAGTTCTGTATAAGTTGACATGCTGAGGTTTTTTTTTTTTTTTTTTTTTTTTAACTGTTTTTGTGGGACAGTGGTGATTACATGGGCATTGGGACTTTCAGGAATATTCCAGAATCTATGATATGTTGTATTTCACTTGTGCTAGAGGGTTTTCAGGCTGCCTTTTCATGGCATGTTCACTCCAGAAATGCTCTAATGCCCATCAATAAATGTCACCCTCATCCTAGGAATTAGATGAAGAGATTATAGTTTTGAAGTTTTGGTGTTATTAGGCTTAAATCTCTAGGACACATATAAACACACTTGTGGTATTAAATGTGCCGGGTGGGTGATTTCAAGTTCCAGTGGCAGTGGTAATTTTTGCATTTCCTGACTCTTGTGTTTAAATTTGCAGTCTCAACATTGCATCACTGTAAGTTTTCACATTTAATGAATATTTATGTTGAGCCAAGTTCTATACGAATGTGGTGGTTTCTGACTTGATTATAGCTTGCTGTGTACTGTGGCCAGGAGTGCCCTACAGACAACAGAGTTGGCACACGTCTCAGCATGCCAAGCCCCGGCGGATGTGGTTAGGGACCACGGTGACTGGGGCATTGGTTGCCATACCAACCTTGTTTTTGGAAGGGAAAGCTCTGAAACAGCAATGGGATGGGGGCAGAATAGTTTTGAATATTCCAAGTAAACTTATTCCCTATATGTTCCCTGCAAGAAGATGCTATAGAAAACTATAATTCTTACTATGTGCTCAGATAGCATGAGTTAATTTTCTTTCTTTTCTTCTTTCTTTCTTTCTTTTTTTTTTTTTTTTAAGACAGTCTCATTCTGTCACCCAGGCTAAAGTGCAGTGGTATGATCTTGGCTCACTTTAGCCTCGACCTCCTAGGCTCAAACGATCCTCCCACCTCAGCCTCCCAAGTAGCTGGGACCACAGGCGTGCACCACCATGCCCAGCTAATTTTGTTTATGTTTTCTAGAGATGAAGTCTCAGTGTGTTGCCCAGGCTAGTCTCGAACTCTTGGGCTCAAGCAATAGTTAGTTTACTTTTGCAAGGCTGTTTTAATTGTCCTTTTGCAAAGGTGTGGAAGTTATATGGTGGGCCTTTCATGTGTGAATTTCTTCCCTACTTGTTGGAGGGTAAACAGGGGATCTTCTATCTCTTCCTATTACAGACCTTCTTCTCTCAACTCCTGCCAACCTCCCTTGCCCTCTGGTAACTAACCTAGTGATGACTGATTGGGGGAGGGAGAAGGGAAAGAAAAACAGGAAGGATAAATGGGGGACTCCTCCTCCCCCAGCTCCTTATTTATATTCCTCACTTTCCCTTATACCAAGATGGGGTTTCCTTGCTCCTCCCTATTGTATATAAGCAAAGATCACAGTCGAAGGTGCCATCACCCATAAGTGGGATGTTAGGGTGCCCTGCTCACGAGCTTCGGCAGACAGAACTGGGATGAGAGGAAGGAAACATCCCTGGCATCTCACACTGGAATGCTGTTACCTCTTTGCAAATGGTGCCTTGCATGATTAATTCTATGGTACTTGGTATTGTGCAGTAAAATGTCTGGAAGGGAATTGATCAAGTCTGGTAAGCCAGATCAGAGCCCAGAATGGCAGAGTGGGATGTGACTTGCAGGTGGCATCTGCTGTTCTAGTGCCTCTTTACAGAAGATGATCCAAGTCTCTGGAAGCTGCCACCTGTCCAGGTTCAACAGCTCAGGCAGTCTGTTGTTGTGGAGGGCTTGTCCTCAAGCCTCATCACACAAAAAAAGTAAAAACCCCACCCCTTTGAAAAGAAACTTACTGTTTCAGAAGAGGGAGGCAGTCCAATGATTTAATCTTTGCTTGCTGACTTGGAGCCAACTCCCCATTAGATTGTAACCTCCTTCCGGGCAGGGTTGGTGTTTCAATCTATTTAACATTTTTCAGCTGGGTGCGGTGGCTTACACCTATAATACCAGCTTTAGGAGGCTGAGGTGGGATGATCGCTTGAGGCCAGGAGTTTAAGACCAGCTTGGGCGACATAGCGAGACTGTTCCTACAACAAATTTTTTTTAAAAAAATTAGCCAGGTATGGTGGTGCACATCTGTAGTCTTAGCCACTTGGGAGGCTGAGGTGATAGGATCACTTGAGCCCTGGAGGTTGAGGCTGCAGTGAGCTGTGGTAGTGCCACTGCATTCCAGCCTGGGTGACACAGCGAGACCTGTCTCTACAAAAATAAATAAATAAATAAATAATTTTTTTTTAAATGCAGAAAACATTTCCCAGTTCAACTCAAAGAGCCTCTTTGTTTGAATTTGGAAGAGCTGTCCCTTCCTGAAGATACCTGAATTCTATTTTCTGCTCATCGGTCATAATGTGAATCTAGGATGAGCACAGATGTGAACGGCACCTCCTAGAGTTGTGCGGTGCATAAGGCCAACGCCCAGAAGGCACTCTTCCATCTCCCTGTTGGCTGACGTGGCACCTGAGTTGTTCCCCCTTCTCTAATGCTTCTCCTTCAGCAATTGTGATTTGCTGCTTCTGATTTCTGTAGTCCTAGGAAACCAGGGAACCATGTTTGTTAGAATTATGTGTAAAGTTAGGGGACAGAGACATCAAGGGGGTGTGTAAGTAGTTTAGTATGTGGCTGCTTTGGCTGCTTTTCTGCTTTTTGCTGGCTCCTCTTTAGAGATCAGCTGACTGGCGCATGGAGTCCTCAAATTTTGGGGGCATGTAATAAATGATGGATGGACCTTTTTTTTTTTTTTTTTTTTTGAGACAGAGTCTTGCTCTCTCACTCAGACTAGAGTGTGTAGTGGCACGATCTCGGCTCACTGCAACCTCTGCCTCCTGGGTTCAAGCGATTCTCCTGCTTCAGTCTCCTGAGTAGCCACGATTACACGTGCGCAATACCACGCCTGGCTAATTTTTTGTATTTTTAGTAGAGATGGGGTTTTGCCATGTTGCCCAGGCTAGTGGCTAGGCGTTTTATGGTGCAGAAATGGCACCACTATTTTGTGAGTATTCCTAATCACCAACTTTTAAGTTAACTTTTTTTTTTTTTTTTTTTTTGGAGATGGAGTCTCCGTCTGTTACCCAGGCTGGAGTGCAGTGGCATGATCTTGGCTCACTGCAACCTCCGCCTCCAGGGCTCAAGCAATTCTCCTGCCTCAGCCTCCTGAGTAGCTGGGATTACAGGTGTGCACCACCATGCCCAGTGAATGTGTGTATTTTTAGTAGAGATGGGGTTTTACCATGTTGGCCAGGCTGGTCTTGAACTCCTGACCTCAGGTGATCCACCTGCCTTGGCCTCCCAAAGTGCTGGGATTACAGGTGTGAGCCACCGCGCTTGGCAAGTTAACTTTCATTCACCTGGTTTGGGTATAAGTTCTCTTTAGTTCTTCAAACTACAACTTTTAGCTGACTGTATTTAAGAGGAGTTGGGAGGACAGAGCAGTAGTTTTCCACTTTGCTACGCAGACACCCAGCATTTGCCAGGCCTTTTTTTTTTCTTTTTTTGAGATGGGATCTCACTCTGTTGCCCAGGCAGGAGTGCAGTGGTGTGATCTTGGTTCGCTACGAACTCCCTGTCCTGCGCTCAAATGATCCTCCCACCTTAGCCTCCTGAGTAGCTGGGACTACAGGCGCCCTGCTGATTTTTGTATTTTTCACCAGGTTCTTTAAGCATGTTGTAAACTTTGCAGAACAAATTGGTTCTGGGTTTCCTTTGATGGGAGAGGCTGCAGAGTGCTGAGTCTGGAGCCAGACAGCTTGGGTTTGAATCCTGGCTTTGGCAGTTACCTGCTGTGGAAAGATGGCTTTGCCTCTCTGGATCTCAGTTTCTGCATCTGTAAAATGGAGATAAACTTTTCCTAGCGTTGTTATGAGGATTACATGAGTTACTCACAGCATGCAATTTATATTTAGTGGGGATGAGGTTGAAGAAAATACATAATTTCATGCTGCTCCTCACATATACCTAACGTTTATGTTGCAGTTCCCAAGTGGTTGCAAATTCTTATTCTAAAATGGTAGCTTATCAAAGTTAAAGGAATCCAAAAATGCCATTTACTGAGAAGAGAAGTGGTCATAACATAGGAATTTTTTTTTTTAACATGCTTAGTGCCTTTCTACTTGCACCTATGTCCCTTCTCCCCTAGTGTGGGGGTCTGTGGGCTCCCCAGGGTAGTGCTTAAGCACTTTGCAAGAGGTGCAGGCTGCTCATTTCTCCGATTCCCAGTTCCCTCTGTTTCCTGGGAGGGACGCTTTGCTGCAGCTTCACCTGCTTATCCCTACTCTCTACAGCTAGATCATTGTCCAGGCCTTAAGCTCTGTCAGTCGGGCACGTGTGCACACACAGACACACACACGCACAGCTGGATGTGAACTCTTGACTCCAGTGTGTTTCTAGGCCAGCCTGCTTGTTGTTCCTGGTTGCTCCGAGGAAAGGAGGGTGCTGATTGCTCCTCTGGATCCAGCCGGACGCATGGAATGCTGCAACATACTAAGCCTGTGCTCTGGGGGCCTAATTACGTGGGACTTGGGGCAAGCACAAGTGACTTCAGCGCTTGGTTTGATCCAGCGTGTGATTTTTGCCAAAGCAAATACTTTATTAATCTTAACCCCCCAAATTAGACACATTGACTTTTTCTAAAAATGGGAATGATTGGAGAGCAGAATTTTTTTTTAAATCCCCTCCCCATCCTGAACCCCTCCTCCAGCAAGACTGGGCTCTGCATTCCTCTCCTTGAATGGAGAAGGTGAGTTCCATCACTGCCTACCTCCTCCTCTAACATTCCTGAAACTAGGTGCTAGGAAATTGCCCCTTTCTGAAGGTGTGTTTTTTGTGTGTTTTCCGCAAGAGGTTCCACTCCTTCCTACGTCAAGGCCAAAGAAAGGATTTGCCGTCCTGATGGAACTTTCCTAACTGGGAACTTGTCCTGGATTTCTTGGGATTCTGATCCAGAATGTGTATAGGGAAAACTGTTGGGTGACTTCCCATGGTGACCTTGAGTGTGTCTGAGAGGCTCAGCCAGAATTTCTTGTGTGGCCTGTGAGTGAGCTAGCAAGCCAGCGAGGTCAGTGGGCCTTCCCGCTCAACACCCTGTCTCTCTCCTCAAAGTGTCTTGGGTAAAGGGCATACTCACAGGGTGGAATTAATCTGGCGTTAGAGAGTGAGCTTGTTCTTATCTAGTCTAAACTGGAAAAAAAAAATGCATTTAAATAAGCAACCTAACCTCACCCCAGAAAACAACTCCTAGTTAACCTTGGCTCCTCTTCACTCGGCCTCTGTCTTTAAGTCTGAGTGACCTGGTGGGATTGATCAGCTTTGAAGTCCTAAGGTGCTATTTTAATACTGTTCTTTTACGTTGCAGGCTTCGAGACTGATTTAACTAGATTCTGGAGGGAGCTTACTTTACAGCATTCTTAAGAGCTCGAACAATCTTGAAAGAGTTAAACTCTAATTAGCTCATTCCTAAGGTATTTAATGCCCTTATTAAAACTCAACTGCTCGTTCACTTTTTTCTTTAGTGAATCAGATTTCTTGAGGAGCTGAGCCTTCGCTCCTCAGATCACAGGCTCACATGTTGAAGCTGGCAGTGCTAGAGGCTAGTTCCTATCTGTGTGACAGCATTTTTAATTTAACAGGACCGCCTTTGATGTTCCCAAATATTTATAGGCAGCTTTAGATCATTTCAGTGTGTGCTTTCTTTTTCTTCTCTCTCTCTCTCTCTCTTTTAACTGGAGCAAAAGTTCTTCCTCATGCAACAGCCTTCCTTTTATCCTGTTTAGTTTATTTTTGTTTCCTTTGCAGCTTTGGCGAAGGCTGTCTGGCTGCATTCACACACACACATGAGATTGACCCTTCTTTTTGCTTCTTTGGTAAAGGCTACCTCTCTGTATCCTCCTGCCTGCTTGAGATTGCTTAAGGCACTTCTGTTCATCCCTTGACTTTCTTCAGGCTGAGTTTTTTCCTAATCTGGCTCAGGAATCTGTTCTTTGGCTGACCTGAGAGCTTTCAGACTATCATGCAGACCTGGGCATTGTGTGAAAGTGTCTTTTTTTTTTTTTTTCTGAGACAGGGTCTCACTCTGTCACCCAGACTGGAAGTGCTGTGGAATGATCATAGCTCACTGTCACCTTGATCTCCTCAAGTGATCCTTCTGCCTCAACCTCCCGAGTAGCTGGTACTACAGGCACCTGATACCACTCCCAGCTAATTTTTTCACTTTTTTATAGAGATGAGGTCTTGCTTTGTTGCCCAGGTTGATCTCGAATTCCTGGGCTCGAGCAATCCTCCTGCCTCGGCCTCCCAAAGTGCTGAGATTATAGGTATGAGCCACCTCACCTGGCCTTGAATGTGTCTCTTTATGGATGACCAGGCTGTAATATCCTACTCTGCTTGCCTGCATTGACACTGATGGGGCCTCAGCAAGTTATGATTTACAGTGTATGTTTTGCAGATACTGTTTTAGCTGGGGCAGGAAATTCAGATAGACAGAATTCTGTCCTGATCATTTCAGGCTTGCTCTGTTTGGCTCTGTTAGACTTCTTGGCTGAAAATAACAGAGAATCAAAGATTTTGGTCTCAGGGATGGGAAAAACAGGGCTGCAACATAGATTTGTTAAGCCATTAAGAAAAAGAAAAAGGAAACTTTGTACCAATCAAAACAAATGATAGAACAGAGGATAGTGCTTCCTCCAGCTTGGCCTCTGGGTAAACATTCTGCTTGTGAAACAATCCAAATTACTGAATTCTCAGCTGCTGTTACTTACCTGGGCCTGGCAGACAGAAGACCAGAAGATATCATGGCTTCTTCCATCATTGCTGGCTGTGCCTCCTATTAGGTGGAAGCCTTTTAGTGCTGAAGGTCTCATAGGTGGTTGATGAAATGTGTGAATGAATGAATACACTATTCTTGGGACCTTATACTGTTTTTCTCACTAGATCCTTAAGAGGATTCTGAGCGATAAGATATTTCATATCTGTTTTTTTAGATGAGGACACTAAAGTGCAGAGAGGTTTATACAGCTGGTGAGTGAATGGAGAAGCTGGCCTGGAGCTCAGGACTGTGTCTTATAGCCTCACCATGAGGTAATTGGAGGCAGGTAAATCCAATGGCAGTCTGCTAACCTCTTAGAGCTAAAAAAGCCTGTTGAGGCTAAGCATGGTGGCTCACGCCTATAATCCCAGCACTTTAGGAGGCTGAGGCAAGTGAATTGCTTGAGCCTAGGAGTTTGAGACCAGCCTGGGCAACGTGGTGAAACCTCATCTTTACAAAAAGAATTTAAAAATTAACTGAGTGTAGTGGTGCACGTCTGTAGTCCCAACTACTCAGGAGATTGAGGCAGGTGGATTGCTTGAGCCTGGGAGGCAGAGGCTGCAGTGAGCTGAGATGGCACCATTGCACTCCAGCCTAGGTGACAGTGATCTGTCTCCAAAACAAAACAGAAACCTCTCAAGGCTAAAATCTACTGTATGTTGCATTGTGAGAGTTCAGAGCTGACCAGATTCTTGCCATGTAAGGGGCATAGTGGTGGAGAGTACATCCCTGAGACCAGATAGGCCTGTGTTTTGCATCTCAGCCCTGCTACTGACAGCTCTGTGACCTTGGCCAGGTCATCCAACCTCTCTGAACCTCTGCTTCTTCATCTATAACATGGGACAGATAGCTTGTACGACCAAAAGACTATGAAAATTAGATGATATATGTAAGGTGTACATTAAGTGCTTAACACATGTTCGGTTGGTGTCTGTTGCTACAAAATTGTGACTCTCAAAGGGTTCATAGTCCTGCAAGAAAGCATCAGGTAAACCACCTATTAGAAGACGACTTGGCAGCTACAATAGAGAGACGTGCTGGTGCTGAGTAGGAACCCAGGGCAGAAACCACTGGCTTGGATTTTTATTTTCTTTCATTCAGCAGATATGTATTGAGTGCTTACCCTGCGCTGGCAGAGCCACTGGATCACACTGATTGCTGCCAGCTCCCCCTCACCTCCCAATTTTCTCTTTCCCTTCTTGGGAGAATTTGAGCTAAAATGTTAATTGCCACCTGAAGAAAGATTTTCACGGAGTCATTTTCTTTTCTTTCTTTCTTTCTTTTTTTTTTTTTTTGAGATGGACTCTCGCTCTGTCGCCCAGGCTGGAGTGCAGGGGCACCATCTCAGCTCACTGCAACCTCCGCCTCCCGGGTTCAAGCAATTCTCCTGCCTCAGCCTCCCGAGTAGCTGGGACTACAGGCACACGCCGCCACGCCCGTCCAGTTTTTTTTTTTTTTTTGTATTTTAGTAAAGACAGGGTTTCACCATGTTGCCCAGGCTGGTCTCGAACTCCTGAGCTCAGGCAATCTGCCCACCTTGGCCTCCCAAAGTGCTAGGATTACAGGCATGAGCCACCGTGCCTGGCCACATGGAGTCATTTTCACATAAAATGCCAAGGTGCCAAATGGCACAGCCACACTGCATTTGACCATGTATCTTACATGGCCTTGTGCTGTCCTTCAACTCTCATTTTAATCTTATCTAATTTTCTCCAATTTCTCTGGTCTCTTCTACATGAAAACTTTATGGTCCTTGAGAATGTACAAGCGACTCACCAAGGGAGCAGGTGGTGGCCGCATGGTTCCCCACAGTGCCCAGATGGTGTCCGTGCCTTTCATGGTCTGGTTCCATGGGGATTTGTTGATAAGATTTTGCTTTCATTTGGTTTTCCAACCCAGCAGCATATTTAGATTTGATTACTGGTACTAGCTTTTTTCTCTGCAGAGTTTCATTGTCTGAGTCACTGGCTGTCTTGAAACATAAGTCCCATTCTCCACACCCCTGTACCCCTTTGCAATCAGTGGGGATGGTTATGTGGTAGAACTTTTTCCCTGCCCACAGCGCATGGTGCAGAGTGGTGTCAGCACACTTTCACTTGCTGAGTTGATTGGTAACATATTGAATCTAGAACAAAAGATACAATTGAAAAGCATTTGTGGTTGTCTTTGTATAGTTACAAGCCTCTAAAATAGATTTGAGGTCATTTCTATGTCTTTCCTTTTGAATTAGCAAGCAAGCTTTCAGAGGGAAGTGGGCGTTTTCTAAATGCACTATTGATTTGAAGCTAACATGATGCTCTACTTTTGGATCATGAAAATAATGTTAATTTTTTATTTGGCTGTTTGGAGGGACCACTGGAGTAGGTCATTTATATTCAACTCTTATTCATGCTTTCTTTAAATAGCATGTTTAATTTCACATTAAAACTAGCTTCTGTTCAGCTAAAACAAAAACTGAAAAGATGGTTTGGAAGAAAGCAAAATGACAGAGAAAATGCAGCATGCAATGGAAATTGGCTGCAAGTCATCTCCATAAGGTGATTGAGAATGAAGTGAAGCTCAGCTTTCTTTCCAAAGAACCCTCAACAACCCTCTATGTTAACTTACCTTCTCCTGGGAGTCTTGGTGGCCTCCTTTTGTCCTTGGTGTATGTTGCATGCCAATCATGCTGTAGAGAAGGCAGTAATATCTAGAAACACATCTTGAACTAGCGTTGGGCCGTGTGCAAGTCTCTTTTGGTGGGGATATGCGAGAGTCACTAACTAGCAACCTTTAGGGAAAAAGAAGTCCAAGAGGGTTGAATTAGTAACCACTGGGGCCTGTACGTGGTGATGTTTGCTTTTTTAAATGATCCTTGTGGAGCATCATTTGCCCTGTGTCCTATGGGGCATGTCACCCCATTCCCTGGATGTCAAAACTAAGAACAGAAGCAAAATCCATTCTGCATTGGCTCTCCTTCTTTAGACTTAGCCGGATTGCTGGATGCGCGGTCAGTTGGATGCAAATTTGCTTTTGCTAAAGAAAAAGAAGGCCTGCATTAATAATACAATGATAAGACCTGTGCTTTCAGTTTGTGTTTTTTAAAGCGGTGATTAGATTTGTCTGGGTGGAGAGCAAAGATGAAGCTATTGGTCTAGTAGAGACCATTGGTCCCCAGATGAGGGCCTGGTGTCTCCGTTGGGTGTTTTGTTTGTTTGTTTGTTTGTTTTTGAGATGGGGTCTTGCTCTGTTGCCAGGCTGGCGTGTAGTGGCACGATCTCGACTCACTGCAACCTCTGCCTCCTGAGTTAAGCAATTCTTCTGCCTCAGCCTCCTGAGTAGCTGGGATTACACGTGCACGCTGCCACACCCAGCTAATTTTTTTTGTGTGTGTGTATTTTAGTAGAGACAGGGTTTCAGCATGTTGCCCAGGCTGGTCTCGAACTCCTGAGTCTGCCTGCCTCAGCCTCCCAAAGTGCTAGGATTACAGGCGTGAGCCACCGCGCCCAGCCTCTGTTGGGTTTTTTAGGCACACTTGTCTGAAGAAAGTCTTTTGATTTTGAGCCACTTTTTAGAGCTTTGAAGCTCTTCCTGATTTTAACTATTGCTACCTATGGAAGAGTTGCTCTTTGGGAATGGACAGCAACTTGGGGCTAACAGCTTTTAAGCATGGACCTCTCCTGGGGGCGTGTTGGGCCTGTTTACTAACCTTACTGTGGACTCCGCCTTCAGATCAGGATGATTTTCATGGTATTTTTTTTTTTCTCAGAAAATAATCAAACCAAAACTTTCCCTTGCTGATACAGAGTGACTATGCAAATCAGGTCTGCATGCTTATCTTCCTAGAAATGTAGTTCAGTGAAAAGAAAACAGCGCCTTCCTTTAGCCCACATACTTTCCTCATTCATAAAATGAATCAGATGAAACTTGATTTCACCCAGGCTGGAGTGCGGGGGCGTGATCTCAGCTCACTGAAGCCTCCACCACCCAGGCTCAAGGGATCCTCCTGCCTCAGCCTCCTGAGTAGCTGGGACTATAGGCGCATGCCACCATGCCTGGCTAATTTTTTTTTTTTTTTTTTTTTTGGTGGTAGGGAAAGGGTTCTACCATGTTGCTCAGGCTAGTTGCAAACTCCTGGGCTCAAGGGATCCATTCACCTCGGCCTTCCAAAGTGCTGGAATTACAGGTGTGAGCCACCATGGCTGGTCACGCCCAGCTAATTTAATTTTTTTTTTCTAGAGACAGGGGTCTTACTATGTTTCCCAGGCTGGTCTTGAACTTCTGGCCTCAAATGATCTTCCTGCCACTGCACCTGGCCTGATTTGTATTTGGGAGCCTCACTTTCTCCATTAACTTTTTTTTTTTTTGGAGACAGAGTTTTGCTCTTGTTGCCCAGGCTGAGATGCAGTGGTGCAATCTCAGCTCACTGCAACCTCTGCCTCCTGGGTTCAAGCGATTCTCCTGCCTCAGCCTCCTGAGTAGTTGTGATTACAGGTGCCCACCACCACAACCGGCTAATTTTTTGTGTGTGTTTTTAGTAGAGACGGGGTTTCACCATGTTGACCAGATTGGTCTCGAACTCCTGACCTCAAGTGATCTGCCCACCTGGGCCTCTCAAAGTGCTGGGATTACAGGCATGAGCCACCATGCCCAGCCTCTCCATCAGACTTTGGATCTGGAAGATAGTAAGAAAAAAAGCAAAGTAACTTAGTTCTGTCCTTTCCTAGAGGACGTAAGCAGTCTTGGCCTCTTCATGATGGTCCACTTTGTTACCGAATTATTGGGTACAAAAGTGAGGTCTGCAACAGGCTTTGGATGTTTCAAGGTGTGTCTGGCTGTGGTTTGCTTTCTGAGTGCCAGCTTTAATGTCCTCTTATTTTCTGGCAAGGGTTGATGGATGTGGCACTGAATATTTTCTGAATAGTGTTCACAGAATCACCGAGTGAATGCTGGCCTCCTCCTGCATGTCTGTTGAGGGAGGGCTTATGGACCAGTGGGAAAGTCAGATGTGTCCCTGAGATGGTGACAGTATAACATGCATAGGCTGAGTGCCAAATGCTTGGGGCCCAGAGAAAGTGCCTAGAAATCAGAGAAAGGTCTTGGGGGTGGACCTCCAGCTGGACTCTTAAGGAAGATTGGTGCTTGGATTTGCTCCTGCTGGCTCTTGCTATGGGGAAGGCATTTCTTGCTGAGACCCAGGCTAGGCTGGCAACTAGTGGAGCTTTTTCTAGCTTGTGTAGACCTGGAGGCTGCCTGGCATAGAATGTGCCCATGGCAGGGCGGGGAGAAAGAAGAGGCCAAGTGAGGTGCGGCTGGGAGACAACAGATCTGCTATGCTCTCTGGTCTGTCATTTAAGTGGGATCTATTGGATTCAGCCTTTCTGAGCCTCAGTCTCCACATCTGCAAACTGGGTGTGGGGCTAGATGAGATTCCTGGGGGGAATTGGGGGATCTGCAGCTGTGCCTCTGAAGGATGTCTGGGGACAGAAGTGTAAGTGGGGAAGAAGCACACTAACTGGGGAATTGGGGAGGGAAAGAACTTTGGAGGGCAAGTTAGGGGAGGGATAAGAGGGGCTTTGAATGCCAGAAAAGGGTATGTGACTTTTATCATGGAGACCAGTGGGTCCCATAGTCAGAATATAGGTGATGTCTATGTGCATGACCGTGTTTTTGGTGACACAACTCCCGCCTGCCCTGTGTCCTCCAGCAGCATGGTATGTAATTGCAGCCCTCACTGCACAGCAGTCGGCAGGCTTATTCAGGGGCAGTTTTCCAGCAGTCACTCCTCTCTTGAGAACAGTCTGGAATGTAAGGGAGTAAGTGATGTTCTAGTGACAACCTTGAATTCACTTTATTAAAGATAAATAAATCACATGCCAACTCTGGCCTTTAGCTGTTATTAGTAACAAATAGCTTTCTACCCGTACACTTGACCATTCATGACACCTTGGAAGAAAATTGCTGCCATGGCATTTGACCTTGGTTAGCACTTTGTTTTTTCTGAGAGTTTTTTTTTATATATCATGAGTATGTAGAAACTTCTGGGGAGCAATTCCTCAGTTGCCTTTCGAGTCCTGCCCCTAACCCCTCAGTTTGGGCTCCATCTGTTGACTGCCCTGGGTTTCAGAAGGGAGATAGTGAGTGTGCTCTCTTGAACATGGTCCTTTAGGATTAGGCAATAGAGTGGTAGGCTGGTTTAGACATTTCTGGTTATTGACAGGCCTTACTGCGGCTTCCCCCAAATGAATGAGGAATATATTTTTCTAAATCCAGCCAGTGAGCCAAATGAGCCACACTGGGATAAACTTTGTTTGTTTACAAATTATGTAAGAGAAGGGCCCGGCCATTAAATTCTTCTGAGCCAGAATTCCTAGCCCTCTTCAAAGTTGTAATCAAACTAAACAAACACTTTCCACAGGAACTAACTCCCTCCCGAGAAACAGGAGCAGATGCTCCTGGGAGGCCTTCAGCAACTTTGGAATGTTTAAAGTAGAAATATGTAACCAAGGTGAAGTTGTTCCAGAAACATTGCCTGCTCTGGCCAGAACCAAAGCACGTGTCAGCTTTTTTATTTAGGGCAAGAGGTGCAGAATGGACTGGGCCAGTCCAGGCAGAATTTTCTTTAGAATGTTTAATTTTTGGTTTTCATCTTAACCCGGCTTCTCATAGTATCAGCTCCTTGTGACCTTTATTCCCTTCTGCTTAAGTAACTCTTTTTTTAAGCTTGATCTTATCTCTTATCTTTTAGCTATGCTGGATTACATCCGGGGATCAAGGAGCCCGCCTCTTAAAGCACTCAATTATTGTCCCTAGGAAAGATGTCAGCTGTAGCACAAACACTCCAGGGGAGGGAGGCTGAGGCTCGCCTTAACTTCATTATTGTCTGGATAAGATAGGGAGAATTGCCACTCTCCAGTTCTTTTGGAGATCCACAAAGACCGTCCATCTAGGCTCAGGGACACGGTTTTCTTTTCTTTCTTTTTTTTTTTTTTTTTTTGAGACGGAGTTTTGCTCTTGTTGCCCAGGCTGGAGTGCAATGGTTCAATCTCAGCTCACTGCAACCTCCGCCTCCCGGGTTCAAGTGATTCTCCTGCCTCAGCCTCCCAAGTAGCTGGAATTACAGGCGCCCACCACCACACCCAGCTAATTTTTTGTATTTTTAGTAGAGATGGGGTGTCACCATGTTGGCCAGGCTGGTCTTGAACTCCTGACCTCAGGTGATCCACCCATCTCGGCCTCCCAAAGTGCTGAGATTACAGGCGTAAGCCACCGCACCCGGCAGGGACACAGTTTTCGAATCCTTGCCGATTTGAGTCTTTACTGAGCGGCTTGATTTATCTTGGCTTGGGAAGTTGTGGATTTTTAGAACATTGGGTACACTTGTATTAAAATAGATGTATACTTTCTTAAGCCAATTGCACATTTTTCTGGAGTATGCCCAAGATGAGCTTTTCTCAAGGCATCGCCTGAAGAACAGCAGTCCTGCACAATGTTCTGTGGTGAAAGGGTTCTATGAGGATCTATGCTATGCATTAATGGTGGGGCTCAGTATTTGAGAAATACTGTTGATCCTAGTTTTCTCTTAGAGATATATTCTGCACAGTAGTGAATTAATGGCTCTGAGAAATTCTGTTGAAGAGCGGTCTTTCACTTTATTTAATCTGGTACTTCCCAAATGTACTTGATCACAGAACTTTTTCTCAAAGGACTCAAGGTGCTAGGGGATATGGAGTGGCGGGTAGCCAGTATTAGGTTAGTTTAGGGTCTGCACTGGTTCAGTTGGTGTCCTGTTAGATTATGAGGATGGAAGGCCAACACCAAGTTAACTACCAGCTTTCCACAGGGCCCTGGGATAGAGTCATCACCACCTAGAATGAATGGCCTGAACACCTTTGAACTGTGGTAGGACTATTTCTTCCATTTCAGCTTAGATTTGTGGTCTTCTCTATAATTGGGTGATGGGGTATAGGGAGTTGTAGTATAAAAGAACCAAGAAACAGTGCTTCTCTTTGAAGAATTTAATTTCTACTGGAATGGGAAGATTCATGAAGGAGTTAAACAGTACCACCGTCCAAGTAGGTATGAAATAATGTCAAGTAGCCTGTCTTGTAGGCATTTTGTAGCCTGTCTTGTAGGCAGGTGGGGGCCACAGGAAGCAGGGGCAGCCTTTATTGTGACTTGACTTACCAAACTTTGGGTACTGTGATGGCGGGCAGATAAGATAGAGGAGTCCCCCCGACCCCTGCAGCCCTAAATGCCTCTTCGTTTGCCCCGCCTCTGTGTGTAATGTACTATGTGTGAAAGTCTCTTAGACTCCCCGCAAGGTAGACATTTTAGAGTTGGATGAAATGCATGATAAGAACTCCTTCTGGTACTTTCCAGATGTATTTGATCCCAGAACTCCTTTTTCTCAAAGGACCCAAAGTACTGGGGAACATTTGGTTCCTTCTGGAAGGAGAACTCCCTCTGGCTGATCTGCAGGCCCCCACTGCTGGGTTGGCATCCTGGATTTCGAGGTGGCCACCTTCTGTGACTCTTAGGCCTTGAGCTTGGCTATCTGGTTTTGGAGACCTGGTGCCTTGGAAGTGCTGGGCTGAGTTGAATGGAAGTGCATTTTCCGGGTTAGTCTACCTTGGTTAATGCAGGGAAGAGTAAATAGGCTCTGCTGACTCTAGCTGCCCATAGGAAGGATGTGTGTGACATAAGCGGGGCTGAGATATCCCCCATTGAGATGCTAAGAGGAAACTGAGATGAGGAGTTTAAATTCTTCTCCAAATATGTGTCATATTTCATAGACTGTTGACATAGAGCTTTTTTTTTTTTTTTTTTTTAAACTTTAAAAGTTGGAGGCCGGGCACGGTGGCTCACGCCTATAATTCCAGCACTTTGGGAGGCCGAGGTGGGAGGATCACCTGAAGTCAGGAGTTTGAGACCAGCCTGACCAACATGGTGAAACCCCGTCTCTACTAAAAATACAAAATTAGCCAGGCATGGTGGTGCATGCCTATATTGTCAGCTACTCGGGAGGCTGAGGCAGGAGAATTGCTTAAACCTGGGAGGCGGAGGTTGCAGTGAGCCGAGATGGCGCCATTGCACTCCGGCCTGGGCAGCAAGAATGAAACTCCGTCTCAAAAAAAAAAAAAAAAAAATTAGGTTAACCTACCTGATGGATATTGTTGGCAGCTGAGCTCTGTCTAGCCTGGGACATTCAGCCTTTTGCCTCTAGCTTTCGATGAGGCCCCAGGCTCTGCTGTGTATTAATGGTAGGGCTTAGCCTTAGTTCAGGACCCATCCCCTGTCATACCCCCAAACCCCAGAGGGGAGGCGTTCTCTTTTTGCAGATGCAGATTATCAGAAATCGTTCTTCCTTACACTGAACCAAATTTCTTCTGCTCCTTGGTTCTGGTTCTGTCTTCTAGAGTATATTAAGTATCCTTTGGTTGCTATAACAAAGTACCACTGGCTAGGTGGCTTAAATGACAGACATATTTACTCATGATTCTGAAGGCTAGAAGTCCAGAATCAAGGTGATCAGGGTTGATTTATTCTGAGGCCTGTCTCCTTGGCTTATAAAGTGATGGTTTTCCTATGTTTTCACGTGGCCTTCCATCTGTAACTGTCTGTGTCCAAATTTTCTCTTCTTATAAGGACACCACTCATATTGTATTAGGGCCCACCTATATGACCTGCTTTAACTTGGTCACCTCTTTATAGACCCTCTCTCTAGGTAGTCACATTTTGAGGTACTGGGGGTTAGGACCTTAACATATCAATTTTTGAGAGACAGAACTCTGCCCATAACACAGAGCCATTAAGACATGATGACCCTCCAGATTTCTGAAGGTGATTTTCTTGTCACTTGTCTTTTCCTTGCTGAGAACCCCCAGTTCTTTCCGTTCTTTATATGAGATGGTTTTGAAGTCCCTCACCATCTTGGAATCTTCTGGACTTGCCTTAGTTTTGGAAGGACAAAGTGGAATACTTTGGACTACCCGTGATATTATAGATAGAATTCATTCTAATGTCTGCCCAAGCAAACAATTTTGATGATTTCCGAAAAAGATTAAAAGGCTAAAAATCAGACTGTACAGTTTCAGTAACAGCTTTAAGATATTTGTCTTTAATTTTGCCTGAGTAGGTCTGACCACTGACACACACACGGGCACCGCCCCCATATCCCACCCCATGCATCCAGTGCTAACTTTATGTCTTCTTTTGACTTAAGCATTTACGTTAGAGTTAGTAAGTGCTCAAGGTCTAAGTTTGTTCACCACCCTTCCTCCCTTCCTTCATACTTTTTTAGTTTTAGGAAACCTAGTTGGGAGGGTTATTTCAAAAGAATAAATGAATGTAGAGATTTTTATTTTTTAAATTTAAATTACATTTAATTTTTTTGAGATGGGGTCTTGCTCTGTTGCCCAGGCCAGAGTACAATGGTGCCATCACAGCTCACTGCAGCCTCCCCCTCCTGGGCTCAAGCAATTCTTCCACCTTAGCCTCCCGAGTAGCTGGGACTACAGGCAGGTGCCACTGTGCCCGGCTAATTTTGTTTATTTTTTTGTAGAGGCGAGGTCTCACTAGGTTGCCCAGGTTGGTCTTGAACTCTTAGACTCAAGGGATCAGACTCAGCCTCCCAAAGTGCTGGGATTATAGGCATGAGCCACCATGCCTGGCTGAGATTTTTATTTTTTAAATGTAATTGCTGTCTGGAGAGGGTAGAAATAACTCAGTTACTGGAGTATAACTCATTTTAGGTTCATAATGTCATGCCAACCTGTAGTGTAGTTAGATTTAAAATTATTAGTTATTCTCTTCACTTTTGGAAATTGTTTACTTTTTATTGCCCTTGTGCACCAAAAATTGTGTCAAAAAAGCTCATATGTTTTGTTCTTTGCATTTTCAGCACTTAGCAGAGTGAAGGTTAAAAAAAAATTGTTGAGTGACTAAAGGCATCCTCTTAATCATCTTGTGCTTATTTAATCAGGAGCATCCTGTTGTGTCTTTGGTAGAATTGGCAGCTTGGGGTTTAGGGATTATTCTGGCCGCTGTCCCTTTTGCTTTTGAATTGTGGAGCTCCCCACAAAGAGACCCTCAGTGCTGTTCACTCTTCTGCTAAATTGTGGTTTGTAAGTCCTGACTGATAGTTTTGACAGGCTTTTTCTCCTTACCGTAGTCTCTTTAGATGGAGTGTGACGCTCTTGGAGTTCCTTTCTTTGAAGATGCTTTGACTATACCGCCCAGGATTTCCAAATTGTAGCCTTTAGATGCCTGGAACCCTGGCCCCACACAGCTGTTAGGCCCCCTCTATTCTGGAGGCCCGACAACATTAAAAATACCAACTATTTATAGCATACTTTTCAGTGTCAGTAAATTATAGGATGCCCTTGCCAGTGGATGGGGTGAACGCTCATCTGCCTGCCACTGTGTGATTGCCTAGAAGCGTCGGCCAGGTGGCAGGAGCTCAGCCCCACCTGAATGCTCCCAGGTCCTCACCTGGCACTCCCACAGGAAACTAAGGACTGCCAGGATGTCTTGGGGTTCCAGTAGAGTCCATGTCCTTTGCGATGGAGTGGTTGGGGATAAAACACACACACACACACACACACACACACACACACACGACACTAGGTATGTGTGCTCTTGAGAGAAGCCCATTCTGATCTAACTGCCAACTCCTCAGGAGGCTGTGTTGTCAGCCATCTGTGCACAGAAGTTTGCTGCATCACTGGTGAGCTGGGGAGTGTCCTGTGTGGTGTCCACTTAATCTTACTAGGAAGGATCCCCTCATTTCAACAAGGTAACTGAAGAATGTTAAATCTAAATTTGGGTAAGATATACTCTCTGTAGGCTGAAGAATTTGAAGAGTATATAAAAGCTCTTATAGCTGGGTGCCTATAGTCCCAGCTACTTGTAAGGCTGATGCGGGAGGATCCTTTGAGCCCAGGAGTTTGAATCCAGCCTGGGCAATAGTGAGACTCCCTCTCTTTAAAAAGAAAAAAAGCTTTTAAAAAGGCCAAAAGGACATAGGGTCTTTATCTTCCCTCAGCTGCCCCTTGGAAAGGATCTCCTGGCTTGCCATTCAGAGTACACAGTGAGGGGAGGCCCCCTCCACAGGGTACCATTTAGAACAGGCTCAGTCGTTAGAACACTGCAGAGGGCGTGCTGTCCCCTGGCCACCAAGCCAAGTTGGGCTTTTGGGGACAGGTTTTGTGGTGGTAGCTTTTGGGTTCTTCATTTCTTTGCCTGGACTGAACAGTGAGCAGTGCTCAAGAGGCCTGTTCTGTTAGCTGGAGTTTCCATTGAAGTGCTAACTGCTGGATCCTTTGAACCTCTAGCCTGGGAGGGTATTTATAACTAGCTGTTTGCGTGCTTAGAGGAACTGAAGTCCTGCCTTTCTGTAGTGGTTTAAGAGCTGTGCCCTTGGTGTGGGCTGAAAGGCAGGCCTGGCGAAGTGTGGGGACTCAAATGCCCAACTCCCCACGACCTTGTTTGCCTTCCCCCTGCCCTGCCAGCCCAGCGGCCCTTTTAGGGTTAACTTCTCTGCTTTGGAAGCAGCTGGCCAGTTTACACTCCTCCCTGGGCTGTACAAAAATACTTCCTTTGAAGTGTTAGGAGAAGCGGTGAAGGGTAAAACCTGGTGAAGAATAAAACCTGGAGTGGGGCTTGAATGCATTTCTCTTCCAGGGAGTTTGCTGGGTGACTGAGCCCCACAGCCTTCCTCGTAACCTATAGAGCTGAGTGGTTCTCCTCACATAGTTACAGCTTGGAGCCTAGTTGCAGCTGGCATGTGCATGTGTGGGTGCGTGCGTGTGTGTGTATGCACACGTGTGTGTATGTGTATCTGCATGTGTGCGTGTGTGTGTGTGTGTGTGTGTGTGTGTGTGTGTGTGTGTGTGTAAAGTCTCCTCAAAAGGAGTATTTCTTTTCAAGAGAGATAGTTAGAATACAGCCACCAAGCTTGCCTGGTGGCTGGAATCCCTTTGAAGGCACTTTTCCCTAGGGCGGGTCTGAGTCAGGGTGGTATCCTGGGGTATGTGCGAAGCTACAATGTTTCCACTTCGTCCTAAAGTGGCCAGCCCTGTTCTTGCTCCCTACTGGGGTAGGAAAGCTGCCACTGATCCCATCTCTGATTCAGGTCAAAGCACAGCAGCCTAAAAGAACGCTGGGCATGAAGTCAGTGGTGCTGACTTCTCTTAACCTTGGGTTTCCCATCAATAAAGTTGGGCTGGTGGAAATACCGGATTGGGGGCACCTTGAGAAAGTGCAAGACACTTCTCTACTGTAAAGCCTGCAGTTGAGCAGAAATGGCATTTAGGATAAAGAGGCCAAAGAGAAGAATGCCAGAGCAGAAATGAGACGGAACAAAGCTTGAATGTCTTCTTAATCCTTGAGTATTTGCAGCCAAGGAGGGGTTGGGGCAAGATGGGAGGAGAGGCAGCTGTTATTTTCTAGAGAAGAATGCCAACCTGTTTCTCCCCACAGAGGGGACCACACAAGTTATTTCTGAACTGGAGTTTGCAGTCCCTTCTTTCCTGGAAAATGCCTTCATATGGATTTCTTACATCTTATTACACTACTTCCTATCTCCCTTAGACAAGGAGTGTCCCTTAGACAGATCTAAAATAATACCATAGAGCTAACATTTATTGTTGGCTTTTGCCAGGTATTGGGTTAAGCACCCAACATTAATGATCTCATTTATTCCTCATAACATCCCTATGCTGGTTGCTGCTGTTGTCCTCATTGAATAGATGAGGAAAGGGAGGCTGGAAAAAGTGAGATGACTTATCCAAGGTCCTCTTACCTACTGATGCAGGTATGGAAATACAGACCCGGTTAGACTTTTAGCCTCTTTACTTTTTTTTTTTTTTTTGAGACGGAGTCTTACTCTGTCACCCAGGCTGGAGTGCAGTGGTGCGATCTTGGCTCACTGCACCTCAGCCTCCCGAGTAGCTGGGATTACAGGCGCGTGCCACCATGCCTGGCTAATTTTTGTATTTTTAGTAGAGGTGGGGTTTCACCATGTTGGCCAAGCTGGTCTCGAACTCCTAACCTCAGGTGATTCGCTTGCCTCAGCCTCCCAAAGTGCTGGGCTTACAGGCATGAGCCACCACACCTGGCCCCCTTTACTCTTAAGAGATGTAAGTTACAATAAGCGATGAGGGGGTGAAATTTAATTCTGTGCCCCAAACCTGATCAGAAGCTGTTTTTAAGGAAAGAGGTGGAACATTGAACTCTGTTCATTCTGGCTGTTTTGACTCATGTTATATTCATCAGTGGACTTTTATTTTATTTTTTGAGATGGAGTTTTGCTCTTGTTGCCCAGGCTGGAGTGCAATGGTGCAATTTTGGCTCACTGCAACCTCTGCACCTACCCTGGATTCAAGCAATTCTCGTGCCTCAGCCTCCCGAGTAGCTGGGATTACAGGCATCCGCCACTATGCCCAGCTATTTTTTTTTTGGTAGAAACGGGGTTTCACCATGTTGGCCAGGCTGATCTCGAACTCCTGACCTTGGGGGATCCACCCACCTCCCCCTCCCAAAGTGTTGGGTTTACAGGTGTGAGCCACCGTGCCTGGCCTATTTTATTTTATTTTTTGTTTTGAGACAGAGTCTCGCTCTGTTGCCCAGGCTGTAGTGCAGTGGGGCAATCTTGGCTCACTGCAACCTCTGCCTCCCGGGTTCAAACGATTCTCGTGCCTCAGTCTCCTGAGTGGCTGGGATTACACGTGCCCACCACCACGCCCAGCTAATTTTTGTATTTTTAGTAGAAATGGGGTTTCACCATGTTGGCCAGGCTTGTCTCGAACTCCTGACCTCAAGTGATCCACCCACCTCGGCCTCCCAGAGTACTGGGATTACAGGCGTGAGCCACAGCACCTGGCCAGCAGACTCTTATTGATCAGTTATATTTCAATACACATGAGTGCGTTTTGCCTTGCGGTTACTGAAAAGAAACTTTTCTTATTTCTCATTCTCTGTGTTGACTTTACAATAGCTATGCTTTTTTCCCTCTCATTAGAAAGGGTTGGGAAGATGGCTGCTCTGTAACTGCAGCTTTGTTACGGTTGAAGGTCTTGGTGTCAGGGATTGACGGGTAGCCTGTACCCCTTGGAATCCTTAGCTGTAGGCTTTGGTCTTTCCCCAGCCTAGAACCAGACTTGGCACTTACTTCAAGGGGCTTGAGATCCTGTGCTTGACCCTCCTTAGCTCATGGGGGAAACCAAGGCCTGGGAAAGTTTGAGTGATTTGCCCCCAGTCACACACGGGGCTAGACCCAGGGCCAGGCTGGCAGGTTCCCAGCCCACTGGCCACATGCTTCTCCTTTTCACCTGAATTTCAAACAGGAGGGAAGATGAAAGGGATAGAAATGACCAGTCAGAGGAGTAGGAGGGCTGTCATTTGCAAACAGTTTCTTTTGATCTTTGCCCCATTGTTTAAAAAACCCCCACCAAACCACAACTGGTAGCATCAGCACATGGTTCCCTCCGGTTCATTGAGGGGCAGTCATTTCTCTTTTAAGTGGGAAGCCCCCCCCACCCCTAGTAGTCTGTTTCACTTAGGGCTCCATACCTCCTCTCCCCTTCTGCTACTCGGCTGCCAGATGTGCTCCCCTTCACAAACCTTTCAGAGCTTTTTACTGCTTATAGGATGGAGTCTAACCCCGCCTTCCCCTAATATTCTAAAGCCCTTGACATTTTGTGCCCAGTCTGTCTTTGCATTTTGGCATCCAACCACAGAGCCCCTTGCCTCTAGTCAAAGGGCTCCTCCGAATGAGCTTTGGCCTTTATTTGCATCTTTGCCCACATTCTGCCCATCTTTCAATGCTGCTGCCTCCAGGAAGCTCTGTTGGACTAATGCAGCACCCAGTTGCCTCTGCTGCCTCCGAACCTGAAACAATCTGGTCTGGCAACTCATTTGACACTTAATATTGTTTTGTGTTGTTTAACTTGTAGATGTGTCTGTCTCCCTAACTAGATTGTAAGTTCACTGAGGTCAACAGCATGCCTTCTGAACTGCTTCGTATTCCCCTCTGAACTGTTTCATATTCCCCCACAGCATTCCACAGGGCCTAGGTTGTATGCTGTGCAAAGATCTGGGACTGAAATGCTATTATCTTTCTAACTGTTAATAGGAATGGAAGAAATTAGTTTCCCCAAAAAGGAATAAAATGATTAACTAGAGAGATTTTTAATAGGATCTGTGCTACGTTAGGATTAATATATAGGTTGAGTATCCCTTATCCTAAATGCTTGGGACCAGAAGTGTTTCGGATTTTGGAATATTTGCATATACATAATGAGATGTCTGGGGGGTGAGACTCAAGTCTAAACATGAAATTCATTTGTTTCATATACACCTTATTCACATAGCCTGAAGGTAATTTTATACAGTATTTTTAATAATTTTGTGCATGAAACAAAGTTCCTCTTAAGTACTTATGTGTGGAATTTCCACTTGTGGTGTCATGTTGGTGCTCAGAAAGCTTCAGATTTGGAAGCCTTTTGGATTTTGCGTTTTTCAGTTAAGGATGTTTAACCTTTACTTTAAATCGGGTTACTTGAATGAATCAGGGAATTTTAGTTTGTTGTAATTATTTTTTTGTTTGTGTAATTTTGCTGGCAAACAGTCTATAGTGAAAATTTTGACCTAGACCCCTTCAAGATGAAAGTAAATAAATGCATGTTATTTAAAATTTGCTGTTGTTGCTATTTAGCACCCTAGATGCCTGTTTACTTTTTTACTTTGTTGTTCTTATAACTTTTTCTCTAAGTAATTTCTTGGATCCGTATTCGCACTGTTACAATTGTGTTCTTGAACATACTTCTAATCTTTTTTAGCCATTATGATAATATATTTTGTTTTCTTGACCCTTTCTGTAGTTTGTTAGGTTGATGGCTTCCACTGGAATTTTAGGTTTGACCTCCCAAAGGTGGATCCACCTGTATGGGAAAGATTTGTTTTCCCTTCTCCATCCCCTCCCAGTCCCTCTGCGTTCTGGCCTTGGGTGTATGAAATTCTGGCCTTGAACACACCTAGCAGTCCTGGCCCATGTCCGTTTCCCAGTTAACTCTTTTGTGCCCGATCTATATGTGGCATGTTCCGCCACAGCTGTGGGTGGAATCATGCTTGTGCCCCCATATAACCTTTTCCTTCTTAGCATTTTTTTCTTTTCTTACTCCTGAGTTAAACGTGTAGCAGAAGAGGTGTAAAGACACAGGGCCAGCATGAATAGTGCTCCCTTTTTAAAATGTGGAAACCGGCTTGGAGAAGTTAAGTGACTTATCCAAGGCTGTACATCCAGTAAGGAGAAAAACTGGCCTTGTGACATAGCCCCAGGGATGTGCTGTGCCCCGTGATGGCCCCATATGTTGGTGTTGGGAGTTCAGTGGCTCATCAAGTGCCTGTAGCTCTTAAAGGAAAGGAGTTGATAAAATGAAGCAACCTGGGGCGCTTACTCCAGGGGCCATTTCTAATCTGATTTCTGTAAGTAGTGGATTTTTGAGAGTGGGTTCTTGTATTTCCTCCTGGTCTGCTGTGTTCATGGGTATTTTTCTGGAGAGATGGACTCTACATCCCAAAACTGGTGAAGATCCCCTGATAGAGGTGCCGCTAATGCCCCTCCCCATGCAGGGATTGTACTGGAGAAGCTGTGTCTGTGGCCTGCACCCCTCTGGAAGCTCCAGTGAGTGTCCTGGGGACACATTAGGAAAGTCAGATGTGATCTACCCTCACACCCGCCAGTCTCAAACGGCTTTTTTTCCTTCTTAAAAGTAAGCAAGGAATAAACTTTAAAAATAGCAAAGGGTCAGAAGTTCCTTTTTTTTTCAAGCTTTTATTATAGGAAATGTTACATGTAGACTCCAATAGATAGAACATGTTATGTACACACCGTCCCTCCATATACTCACCATCACCCAAAATAGTTGTCAACACCTGGCCCCGCTTGTTTCACTTACACCCCCATGCCACCCTCATGTTATTTTGAAGCAAAGCCAGCCATATCATTTCCCTGCCCGTAAATATTTCTAAAATATCTATAAAAGCTTCTTTTTAAAAAACATGATCTCAAGGCTGTTCCCACAAATGTTAAGCTAGTGATGTCCCCTCCCAAGGGGCAACCCCACACTCCCTGAGAGATGGTGTATGTGTTTCACTGCTCATGCACTGGCAGCCACGTCTAGAGGCTGGGTCTGGGGTGGAGCCCAAGTGGGGTGGGGGACCGAGCGGGCGAGGCCATGGCTTTGCGCTGGCCGGGCAATCATGATGATCTCGGATCCCGCGTGGGCGCTGTGATGGTATCGGCTTTGCCCCGGGCGGGAACCACAAGATCAAAGGCGCCGCGCACCGGGGTGCTTCAAAGCCAGTGGAGCAGCCCGGATTGATGCCCAGAATGAGAGCTCTCTGCTGATGTAATCGTAGCCTGTGAGACAGGTTCTTTTTTTAAATTTAAACAAAGACACCCCTTGTTTGTTTAGTGAGGTGAAGCATGTGTTGCAGAGGGCACGCAGCATCTGGAGGGCTCCACTCTGGCCTGGTGGGTCCATGGTAGGGCAGGAATGCTGCAAGTGACTAGAATTTTCAGGCGGGCTTGTAGATCTTCCATAAAAGACAACCTGTTTCTGTTAAGAGTAATTTTTTTCTCCCTTTTTTAGTATAGTCAGGCTTGTTCTCAAGTGACTTTCCTGAAATACTGAAAGTGCTTTCCTCTGGTGGGGTTGTCAGGCTTTGGAACACACCTGGTGAGCCAGCTAGGAATTCAGATCAAAAAGTAGGTAAGCAGCCAGGGCATGGTGGCTCACGCCTGTCATCTCAGTGCTTTGGGAGGTTGAGAGGATTGCTTGAGCTCAGGAGTTCAAACCAGCTGGGGCAACATAGTGAGACCCTGTCTCTTAAAAAAATTTAGCTGGCTGTGGTGATGTGTGCCTGTAGTCCTAGCTACTTGGGAGGCTAAGGTGGGAGGATCGCTTGAGCCCATAAGTTCGAGACTACAGTGAACTATGATTGCATCACAGTACTCCAGCCTGGGCAACAGAGCAAGGCCTTGTCTCTAAAAAATAATAATAATAATAATTTTTAAAAAGTAGGCAAGAGGGCTGACTTTGGTCAGTCATTCCTTGGGTCTAGAAAGGAAGCTCATCTGTCCCTTCCCTAGAGTATGTGAGAGGCTTGCCCAAGGCTGGTAGTCAGATCCCATCCTGTTGGAAGGAGAGAGGGGTCTCCAAGAATATGGCTGAGTGCCAGGATCACCACCACCCCTAGCCTGAATATTCTCCCAGTCTCTGTAAAAATCATAGACATGTGGCTGATTTTTCTGGGGTATTCCCAGTTAAGATGGTATCCCTGCCTTTAGTAGTTGATCAGTACACAAATCAGTGAAACCCTGTACCATACATACCTCCATGAGTGAAATCGTGGTCATATTCTGTTTTCTTGCTTAGCAAATCTTGCTGACAGATAGATGAAGAAGCCTGCCAAACGGAGTCAGCTTGTTGGATGCTGAGGTCCTTCCCAAGATCTTCCCTACATCAGAATTCAGGGTCAGTGGGGTCTGAGGCACTACTCAACTTAAGTCATAGTGACTAAAGTCCACTTCAGCATCTTACAGATGTCCCAACCAAACCCAGCATGTGTAAAACCAGATTTCTCTTCTCTCCACAAACCTGTTTCTGTTAGGTTCTTTTGTTACTCCAGCTAAAAAGCTGGTGTCATTCTAAGCTGTTTATCCTCAATGAGGTGTCCCCTTCTCTAACCCCATGATGCCTCTACCCATGCACATTGAATTGTCTGTAAGTTACTGGAAGGCAAGACTGGAAGGGTTTTTCCTTCCCTTTTAAACTACAAACCAGGTTTCCCCCATCTTCTGTAAAAGCACCCCCCAATATTGTGAATTTCAAGCATGCAGGAAAAGTGAGAGTTTTGCAGTCGACACCCATATACCCACTATCTATATTCCACCGTTAACATTTCACTGTATTTGCTTTCTTACATTTTTTATCTATCTGTGCATGTGATGGGGTTTTTTGAGACAAGGTTTGCCCAGGCTGGAGTTCAGTGGAGCAATCATGAATCACTACAGCCTCAACTTCCTGAACTCAGGTGATTCTCCTACCTCGTGATGGGTTTTTGATATTTGAAAATCAAGCACATGGGGGCTGAGATGTTATAATGGATGTGACAGAGTATGTAAGGTTCCCTTTTTAATTTGGTTTCTATCACTTTTAGATCCAGGTCTCCCCTTCTCTCCCTATCTACTGCCTCCCCGCTAACCAACCCCTACCCCATCCCCTGGCTGGGAATAGCCCTAGAGATCTTGCGTCTTTGTTCAGACACTCAAGGGAGAACCCAGGAAGTTGCACCTGGAGGACCACCTGGGGCATGGAGTTTGCTATGGAGACCCTGTTGTGTTTGAATGACTTGCCCTCTCACATTTCCTAAAGCCTACTGCCCTTCCTTCATCTTGTCCCTCTCTTTGCCTTCTAGTGGTCTGGCCTTGTGGCTACAGTGAGCATGTGCACATTCTGTTCAGAGACTGCAGTTTTTTGTGCAATGGGGTGGAGGTGCTGCTGCAGAGCATGGAGCAAGCCAGCTGGGTGGGACTTCTGGTGGGTTTTAAATTGATTTGAAGAAAAATCTCTAAACAGTATTTTGTTTCTTTGATTGATTGATTTTTTTAAAGAGATGGGGGGGTCTCTCTATGTTACCTAGGCAGACCTCGAACTCCTGGGGTCAAGTGATCCTGCCACCTCATCAGTCTCCCCAGTAGCTGGGATTATACACACATCACCCTGCCTGGCTTTTTTTTTTTTTTTAATTTTATTTTTTAAAGTCAATAAAATAGGCCAGGCATGGTGGCGCACACCTGTAATCCCAGCACTTTCGGAAGCTGAGGTGGGCGGATCGCCTGAGGTCAGGAGTTCGAGACCAGCCTGGCCAGTGAAACCCCATCTCTACTAAAAATACAGAAATTAGCTGGGCATGGGCATGCCTGTAATCCCAGCTACTCGGGAGGCTGAGGCAGGAGAATCGCTTGAACCTGGGAGGCGGAGGTTACAGTGAGCCAAGATTGCACCACTGCACTCCAGCTTGGGCAATGAGCGAAACTCCATCTCAAAAAAAAAAAAAAAAGAAAAGAAAAGGTGAATAAAACAAGTGGCTGGGCGCGGTAGCTCACACCTGTAATTCCAATACTTTGGGAGGCTGAGGCGGGAGGATCACTTGAGGTCAGGAGTTTGAGACCAGCCTGGTCAACATGGTGAAACCCTGTCTCTACTAAAAATACAAAAATTAGCTGGGTGTGGGCACATGCCTGTAGTCCCAGCTACTCAAGAGGCTGAGGTGGGAGAATCACTTGAACCTGGGAGGCAGAGGTTGCAGTGAGCTGAGATCATTTCACTGCAACAGAGTGAGACTTCATCTCAAAAAAAAAAAAAAGTGAATAAAACAAGTTACTTTTCTTGAGATTATCAATGTAAACTTGAGTTTTGGCTGAGTAGGGGCATTCCATTGGACTTGGCAAAGTCAGCTTATCTGAAATGTTAACGCTTTCATAGAAAGGCTTTAGCTTTTCTTGTAAACCTGCTCAAAGCACCGGGCGTGGTGGCTCACGCCTGTAATCCCAGCACTTTGGGAGGCCAAGGCAGGCGAATCACAAGGTCAGGAGATTGAGACCATCCTGGCTAACACAGTGAAACCCTGTCTCTACCAAAACAAACAAACAAACAAAAAAAACCTGCTCAAAGGATCCGGGAAGCCCAGAAAAATTTGATTTATATATTAAATGAGCATGTTTTGCAAAGTTAAGATGAGCTACAACTTGTTGCACTTAGAATGGCTTTATATGAACTATTTTCTTTTGCTTTGCTCTGTATCCCCTCCAAAACAAATTAATATGTGATTCTGTGTGTGTTTGTATGTGTGTGTAAGGTCTTTTAGAGTAGAAGCAGCATTCATCATCTTCGCTGTTGTGAACAGGAGCTGGACAGGTCTACAAGCTAACCTGATTCTTAGAACAGACTAGATTCACAGAATAGATAAGCTCTTTATCACATGGCAGCATATTTTAATTCCAGCCTGTGGCTTCCCTCCTTACGGGAGCTCAGATAGATTTCTCTTTTACTGTGTGTGTATGTGTGTCTATATGTGTGCATGCATGAGTGTGCATCTTTAGAAGCATGATCTGACTTTGCATTGGGCTCCTATGGCTTCCAGGATGCCAAGAGCTGTGACTTTAGCTACCTGGGTAGTGGATCTGCTGACTGTGCCTTTTGTGCCAGTGTTGTGCCTGTTGTATTTTGCTGTAGCTATAGAAGGCAGCTGCACAGGCTTTAAATAATGAAGTCAAGACCACCATCTCCAGTTTGATTTTGTTTAGAGACCATTTTTGGTACAGTTTAGAGCCAGTGGATAATTGCAAGTTGATTAGTGTCTCCCAACCTTCTCTTTTGGTCTGTATTTAATTTTTGCCCAATCTTTTTTAAATTTTATTTTTAAAGTTTTTAAGCCCATAGAAAAGTTGAATGAATAGTTAGTTGTGTGTGGCAAAATGTTAACAGTTGCTTGATTTGTGAATTCTCTCTTACATACACTTAGTTTTGATTTTTTTTACCCGCGTTTTTACTCACTTTTTAAAACCACCTTTTTAGGCCAGACTATTTGAAAGTTGCCAACATAATGGCATTTCACACCTTAGTACTCCAACATATATACATCTGCTGAGACCAAGGATGTACTCCTAACTGCTGTGCCATTGTCACACCGAAGAACTTGACATATTTAAATTTCTCTGATTGTTCCAGAAATGTCTTTTTTTTTTTTTTTTTTTTTTTGACGGAGTCTTGCTCTGTCACTCAGGCTGGAGTGCAGTGGCACAATCTTGGCTCACTGCAGCCTCCACCTCCCGGGTTTAAGCAATTCTCCTGCCTCAGCCTCCCGAGTAGCTGGGATTACAGGCATACGCCACCAAACCCGGCTAATTTTTTTTTTTATTTTTAGTAGAGACGGGGTTTCACCGTGTTAGCCAGGGTGGTCTCGATCTCCTGACCTCATGATCCGCCCGCCTCGGCCTCCCAAAGTGCTGGGATTACAGGCGTGAGCCACCGCGCCCGGCCCAGAAATGTCTTTTATAGATGGCTTTAAAAAATCCAGGACCCATGCAAGGTTCCCATAAGGTATTTAAACTTTTAAAATATTTATACTGAATAGATGCACAGGTCCTATAATGCTAACAAGAGGCAAAAGACAAGGAAAGATTTCTCTCACAATTCTACTACCACAGTTTCAAACCAATTTCTTTTTCATCTCTCTGTTCTTTAAAAATGAAGCTTTGGACAGATTTTCTTTAGTTCACTTTCCTAACCATCCATGAGACAAAAAAAGAACACTGATCAAGACTGTGGTGCTGTTTGACTGCATAAGCACAAATTGTGGTCTTTGAAAGTTCTTGCTGAGAGATTTGGAGTTTTATTAAGAATACCAGGAAGCCAGCGGCCTTTGAGTAATGTTTGAAACAAGAGGGAAGAAATCAACTATTGCTTTTGTTTGTTCAAAAGCTGACTTTATTGATGATATAACAGTGTCTGTAGGTCTTGGGATTCCTTTTTCCTTATTGTAGACGTGGTTTCTCCACCTTGGCACTGATGCCATTTGGAACTGGATAATTTTTTTGTTGTGGCTCCTGTCCTGTGCGTTGTAGGATATCGAGCCACATCCCAGGACTCTACCCACAGGACGCCAGTAGCAAAACCTCCTTCCCAGTTATGACAACTAGAAATGTCTCCAGACACTGCCAGATGTCCCCTGGTTAGGGGCAGGGAGGGGCAAAGTTGACCTCAGTTGAGAACTACTGTTCTAGAAATTCTTCAGGACTAACTTAAATTGAGATTGACTGTGTTACTGATAAATTTCTGCGGAGGGACATTTTCTTTTATAATAAGCCCCATCCCAATCTGAAAATCCAGAAGTGTCTAGATGTCCACTGGCCAAGGGATTGAAATCAGTTGGCAGATGACAACTGAGTGTGTGCCTTTTCACGATTTTCACACTTTAGCAGAAGCCTTGTTATCTGATACTGTTGGGACCTGTAGGTGGTTGGGTAATTGAAAAAGGTCAGTTAAATTGAAGCAGGGAATGATTTAAAAAGAATCATCTTAAGTTTTAATTAAAGCTTATAAAAGGGATTCAAGCTCAGGCCTTTGTGAATAGGACCACAGATATGCACTCCTTACATTAACCTCAGCCTTGATGTATCGTTTAAAACATTTCTCTCAGTTTGAGAAAAAATAGAAATAAAAAACATTTAAAAAGAAAAAATGAAAATGTACATTTCTGATGGGTTTTTTATTTGTTTGTTTTTTCAAAGCAGAACAAATACGTATAAACACTTGTAAAGCTATCAGGAACTATCTAGAATTTTGCTTTTTTTTGTCTTCCAAAGTTGCACTTAGCTCTCAGGTGCTTTTTTTTGGTTTTTGTTTTTTTTGTAGTTATTTGCCTTCATTTAGTCTTTCTATCCAAAGTATATTCAACTTATTTTCATAGAATAAAATAGTATATTTTGCATTGTTTAATATTAAAATCAGTTACATAATTATAGGAGGTGAGTCTGCATAAACAGATCTAGAAACACATATAGCTCAGCTGGTGGGAGCAGTGGTGTGTGGAGGTACTAGAGAGTAGTTTCCCAGCCAGGAGTCTGCAGTGCATGCAGGCTGAAGTTATAGGTCTGCTAATAGCCCCTGCCATATTCTGAAATTCATGGAAAGGGCCCCAGAGGATGGTTCCGATTTGAGAGTTGGAAGATTGGGTTCAAGCCCCGGTTCTGTTGCTTTCTCCATGGTTTTGGGACAAGCCCATCAGTAGGCACAAGCCTCAGGTTGCTTATCTGTCAAATGGGAATGATAGTAATGCTTGTCTTGACTACGGAGCAGGTTATCTTGCAGGTTACACACAGGCCACATAACAGGAAATGCCTTTATAAATGTTCCATGGCGCACTGGTATGTTATTAATGAGCTGGTTATGCTGAGCCTGAGATGTGCACTTCTGAGAATGTGTTGGCTATCCTTTGCTCTTTGAGCACAGAGCACTTGAGCCTCACAGTAAGAGATTTAGGTCAGAAGAGGAATGGAGGGGGCCTTGCTCAATGCAAATTTATACCCACTCTTGCAGAAACAGCTTTGGGCTCCTGCCATGCTGAAGGTGGAGGCACATCACATGGCTGGGTCTTTGTCATAGGTTTTGCTTGAGTGGAGATTACTGGCTTCTCAGTGATAAACCCAGTGAGCAGGCAGGGGGTGAGAATACCAAGGGTTTGGCCAGAGTATAACAGGCAGCCAAGGTTCTCATTACAAGTCCTTTACCCATGCTTTGATGTGTATACAAAGTGAGTGACATCGTGAAGATTGTGCCACCCTGGAGGAAAAGAAGTAGTCATTTCAGTGCAACACTTTAGGGTCTTCTGGAAAGTAAGAAATTATATTTATTTTTGCCAGTATGCCTCTTTTGTTCTTCCAGTGATTCGTCAGCAGGTTGACTAAAATTAGAGCCGTCTGCTAGTCTTGTCCCATCTAATGGTTAGATAAATCTTGCACTGATGTTCATACCTTGAAGGACCCTTTTTTGTGGAACTTCATGTGTTAGAGAAACTGAACCTGTGTAAAATGGAGCAGATCCAATTGCTCTTTGTAACCTTGCTCCCTGGGCCCCCAAAGAAGCTAGAATCTCCCAGTTTTGGCCCCGTAGGTGAAGATGTTACTTTGGGAGTACTTGTGTAACCTGAAGAAGACTGAAAGTATATAGCAGTTCTCATGAGGGAAACCCTGGGATTATTGGCCTAAGTCTCTCTTCAGTGCAGCAGAAATTCTGCTGTTAGACCGGCATTACTGTCTTGACAAAAGGGGAAACAAAGAGGCTACTACATTGTTAGGGAGCCCCATCCATCTGTCCACCCATCTGTCCATCTGTCCACACACCCATCTGTCCACCTACCCATCCGTCTGTCCATCTGTGCAACAATGCAAGGTACTGGGAATATTGCAGTGGAAAAGACAAAAACCCCTGCCCTGTGGAGCCAACATTGTACTAGGCAAACCAGATCCTAGCACATTGTCACCCTAGAATCAGGAGGACTCTTCCTGCCCAGTTCCACTGGGCTAGACATGTAAAGAGAATATGTGAGTAATAGCTAAACTTTGGTCTTACTCAGCTAAACTTTGGTCAAATGGCAAAATACAGGTGAGGTTCCTATGGACAGAGAAGGCAGATGGCATAATGGGGATATGCTGAGCTCAGTGATGCATCACTGTAGACAGCTTGAGAACTCTAGGCATGGGCCAGCTTGGGACAGAGGCCATGGAAGAGACAGGTGTAGTGCGTGGCACCTGTAGCTGAGGCTTAGATGATAACCTTACTCTGCTCTAGCATGGAGAGGACCCGTTCAGCCACACCTGTGGTCATCATTGAGTGCCTGTTTGTAACCAAGGTTGAAAGGATTGAAGAAGAGGTCTGTGTGATAAGTGGGAGGTGGAAGAGCTGATGGCTTATCTTAGCTGGGGAGGCTGTTCTGTCTCCTGGCCTTGGTTTCCTCACCTGTAAAATAAGGCCGGTATCTCAAAGGTCACCCAGGTTAAAAAAAAAAATCTTAACTTTGTTGAGTAAGAATGTAACTGGTTGCCTCTTTGATCTTTGATCAGTGATCCGCATGAGTGGAGAGAACCTGACTTTTCCTGGTGCCTGCTGCCTTTGGAGTGAGTGCAAAATGTCCATTTTGCTGATGACAGGCTCCCTGTTGGCATGTACAGAGAATCTCAGGCAGTGTGAGAGTGTAGTAGCCACCTAGCAACATTGGGTCTTTGTGCGCATGTCCTTGTGATCTATCACCATGCTGCTGCTCATCTTGATCTAAGATGCATTGCCAGTCTGCCCTGCATTGACTCAGCTGAGAGGCAAAACTGGGCAGAAAAGTGGGCTTCTGCAACTGGAACCCCAAAAGCCTGGGCAGAGCTGACCCGTATTGCCTTGAATCCTTGTCTTGGGTGTTACTGGCCATGGTTGGCTCTCCTTAAGAACCGTCACAGAAGAAAGTCACCAAATGTCTGTCTGCCCATCAGGAGCTCTGCACTTGATCTCAGCTAAAAGGCTGAGAAGAGATTCATCAGGAGCTCTGTAGCCTTCTTGATACCAGCAGTGAATCTTTAATACATGTCTTCTCTAAGAGATACTGTCTGTTCTCTCTGATCTTTCCCATGCCCCCTTCCTCTCCCTTCTTCTACCTTAATGAAAGAGCAAAACGGCTAATTATATGGAAACAAAGATTGCCAAGGTTTGTATTAGGATGAAGTGTGTGTTCCACCTATGATAGTGGCCAAATCTTCCAAAGTACATCATCTGACATTTTAGAATACAGACTTCCCTTTCATAGCAAACCTGTATTTTAATAGCTTGTGGTTTTAAAAATATCATCTAAACTCATGAACTAACGCATTCTTCTCAATTATATCCCAACTCTACCATCATCTTCTCTTTCTTCTCCTTAACTTCTCTGGAAATTATTGGAATCTGCTTTTAAACACTGGGGGGATTGTATATTATAGTTGTTTAAAAATGAATCAATTTAAGTTTGAGCAATGTGGTAATTCAAAGCAGTTTTAGGTGTTATTGGGATTTTTTATAAAGAGCATTCCTGAGCCTGAATGAAGCAGTCAGTTTTCCTGATGAGCCATGAGCCCATTGCATTAATGTTTGAGTCTCCTGGTGCTCATGATAACGATTAAGGAGTTAATGTTACCTCTGCCATGTTTAAACATTAACCAAAGGGCTTCCTCTGCTATTATCTGTTATCAACAATTACTTGGAACATTTTCTGGCAGTGGAGCTTTGTTTTTCCTCCGAGGAGATGCTAGAACAGGATGAGAATAGACATTAGGCCACATCAAAGGAAGATTCTTGATTATGTCCAAAGAAACTCTGGCCTTGTGGGTACAGAGAGTTTGCCTCCTTAATATTTTGTAAACTCCTATCACACCCCCACCCCCACCCCACCCCCCCCACACACACACACACACACTCACTCTCTCTCTCTCTCTCTCTCTCTCTCCCCTCCCTCCTCCCTCCTCCCCCTCCCCCTCATCTGGGTCTGAGGAAGAGGGCTGCAGTGATTATTTCATTGTATCATGGTGAGTGGTACCTCTTTTCTTATTTGGGATACTCATTAGAGTTGCTCGGTGGAGATGGAATGATGGTGGGGTGCAGTTAAACATGGCTGAGTGCTTTCTGCTTAAGGACCTGATGTATTAATGCTCTCCAGGTCATTCATATTTGGGGGAAGGAACAAAGAGGGTACTGCTCTACTGCAGATGTGTTCATTTGCTTATTAACAAAAGGCTGGGTGACCCAGAAACTTAAACCCTGAGAACAAAAGTACTTTCCAGCTTCCAAATGGGAAGATCTTGGAGACTCTTGAGTGGCTCCTCTGGAGTGCTTTCTTTACCACCTAGCTGTTTGGAGCTGTCGTGCCTAATAGCTTCTCAGCCTAGAGGGCCCCATAAAATTTTAGTCTGTTTCTGTATAGAGTGCTTTGGAGTGGCCGTTTCTCTCTGCCTCTTATTTACTCTCAAATACCCTTTGGAAAAAGAGCTGATGAGGTGCATTGAGACTTGGCATCAAAAGCCATTCATTGATAGCCATCGCTCAACTCTCTTGGACTTAAATTTTGTTAAACAACAATCACAAAAAGTCTTAAAGAATTACCCCTGTTTCCCCTGAATGTTGAAGTAAGAAAGAAAAGAATTACTCCTGTAATGCAAGAAGACATACTCATTAAAATCTAAACAGCGAAAAAGTATATCGATTAGGTTGGGCGCGGTGGCTCATTCCTGTAATCCCAGCATTTTGGGAGGCTGAGGCAGGCAGATCACTTGGGGTCAGGAGTTCGAGACCAGCCTGGCCAACGTGGTGAAACCCCGTCTCTACTAAAAGTACAAATATTAGCCAGGTGTGGTGGCAGATGCCTGTAGTCTGAGCTACTCCAGAGGCTGAAGCACAAGAATCTCTTGAACCTGGGAGATGGAGGCTGCAGTGAGCCGAGATAGTGCCACTGCACTCTAGCCTGGGTGACAGAGCAAGACTCTGTCTCAAAAAAAAAAAAAAAAAAAAAGTATATTGATTAAAAAGGGGAAACCCTCCCATCCTGTTCTTCCTGTAGATATCACTGGGACCAGCTGGGTTTCCAGTTTTTTTTTCTGTGCATTTCTCTATACTCACACATGGTTTTGCATAAATGGGATTATCCTATACACCTGTTACTTGACTTGCTGGCCCAGGACTTCTCTGAATGTAGGGTATGCTAGATGCACGATAACACAGCCCCATCATGGCTTGTAATTCAGGCATTTAGCGTAAGCTGCTGGGTTTCACTTTTCTTCTGGAAGCTTCAGGCATTGCCCTGCTTTCTGGATGTGCTATGGTTCTGGATTCTTCCTTTCTTTTTCTCTTAATAGGGCTTGTCTAGGATGGAATTTCAAAATAACTTGATTCTTTCCATCTGAGACACAAGCACACAAACCCTTTAGCAGAAGGTTTTTAAGGTTGCCTGTGTACCTGCCCTTTGCCCCTAGAGGTCCCACTGTGAGTGCCCCAGTCACATGATCCACTCTGGCCTTATGGGGGCAGCCCACCCTGGCGCCCGTGTGGTGAAGCCTACTCGTTGTCAGGTTTCCAGTCATTCCTCTCTGCCCTTAGCCCTGTTGTTCTGTGGCTTTGCTTTCTGGGTGCTCTGCCCATGTCCTCAGTTCATTTCTCTCATTCCGGGTTCTTTGCCTGAAATATCCTCACTAGGCTCCACTCTTTGGGGTCAAGACTGCTGTCTTTGTGCACTTGGAGGCTAGCCTGTCTCTGTTGAAGTAATGTGTGGGTAGGGTGCCCACACCAACATCCCTGACACAGATCTGGCCAGCCACCTTGGATCAGCCTGCTGCCTTCTCCCATCTCCTCTTAGATTTGTTCAGTTCCACCCTTTATTGGCTGCAGAAAATGATTCTCTACAATTCTTTCACTGTGGTTTATGATAGAATCCATTTTCTTAAATCTGATGTAGGATCACTTTCCCCAGCAGCAAGGTAATTCTCTTAGGGTCTTCAAAATGGCTCCCCTACCCGAATTCCCGACCATCCCACTAACTCAGAGGGTGGGGAGAGGTGAGTAGATGATGCATTTGCTTCAAGAAGTGTTGCCTGTACTTCCCATCCATCACCACCAGGGCATATTGAACCCCTCTGGCAGGCTCTTCTGGTGCCCTCTGTGATGTGAGAGGAGTTCGGGGGTGCAGAGTGAACATAGTCAAGGTAATTTAGGAAGCTAAGCTCTCCATGTTCTCCTTGGCACAGGTTTCTCTGAGTCAGTTGGTCACTCCCTCCCAACCGCCATAGTTTTGTTTCACCTTGGGGCTTTTATTGTGAATCTCCACTTACGGTGCTCCTAACATCTTGCAAAGGTCTTTCAGCCATAGGTCCCTGATCAGGAAAAATGGTCTCCTCTCTGCACTCCAGTTTTATTCTCCTAATCCTCTCTGGCTGAGAGTCCTGACCTGACTCAGCCACGCCCCAGAGCCAGAGCCCTGGCCACTTTTCCAGCTTGGTCCATCTCTCATCTCTGCCTATTCAGCCTAGGTGTCGTGACCATCATGCCCACCCAGCATGCCACCCTGTGTGGTCTCCTGCCTTGACAAGGTGTGTCCCTTGCCCTGGAGTACATCAGCAGGCAACCCTGACTCCTTTCAGCTCCTAGTGCCCCGGTACCTCTCCTGGGATCCTGAGGTCCACTCTGCTGGATGCCCTGGCAGAGCAGCAGGCTCCTGGGAGCACCTGGGATTGTGGCCCCTGCTTCCTGGGCCCAGGAAGTGCCCTGAGTAGCTACTTGGTGGTGGGTGGGTTACTTCTGATCCGTTTATATTTGCTGTACTCCAGCCCACCTTGGTTTTTTCATCCACAGAGTAGAAATAAATTAAGTGGCTCTAAGAAGTAGTGATTCTTTTTTTAAGGTTGGATTTCTGTGCTTTTCTTAACCATGGCTTTCATAGTTTTGCTAATAGACAAAAACAGTCCCTCGACTGCCTCTGAGAGTAGAGCTGAAATAAAAATTCTAGGCGTCTTCTACAGTAGCTGGAGTCCTGCACTGTCCAAGGAGTCTCAGAATGTAGTAGGAGGGGAAGAAGCTGGGGATTATATATCTACCTGGACCATGGAACGGGATCAAAGAAGGGCATTGAGCGGCCATCCCAAAGCCAGGGCTTGTAACTTAACATGACACCTCATTCATCTGAGCTGCTACTGCATACAGGTTTAGGATTCTTTTTAAATTGTGCAAATGAGTCTCTATCTTTTAAACTCTTAGCTGTCATGCCCTGGCTGGTGCTGTTATTATAAAATTGAGACTGGAGGCCATACATTTGAAGACGAAGACAGTAATCCGCTGCCAACCTACTTCTCTCTTATAATATATATATATATATATATATATATATATATATATATATATTTTTTTTTTTTTTTTTTTTTTTAACAAAAGGAAAGAAAAAAACTCATGCCAGACTTGTTTGTCTGAGATTTATCACTGTAGGGATCCCAGAGACCCCCATGGAAGCTGGCTTTAGTGGTGGCTGCGGCTGGGGACTGGACAGAACAGGTCAGTGTGAGCTTGAACTAGACTGCGCCTGCCTCCTGGTGCACGTACTGTGTTTGGGCATGTGTTGGCTCTTAAAATGCTGTTCATCCATCAACATACTGACCCCTTTTGCAAGTTTCATTGTTCTATTATTGTGACTATAAAAGTGGCACTTGTTACAAAACCAGTTTCTGTGATCTAGAACCGTGTTCTCAAACTTGCATCTATCAGAATCATCTGCCCCACCTCTAGAGTGTCTGATCAGTAGCTTTGGGGTGGGGCCTGAGAATCTGCATTTCTAACAAGTTCCCAGATGCTGCTGCTACTGCAGCTGACCTGGCAACCACCCTTTGAGAACCACTGATCTAGAAGGTACAAGGAAATGAACATCGTCTTCAGTCTTACCACTCGGGAGAGAACCACTGTTAACATTTTAGGGTATAATGAATATATTCATACATATGTGGACATATTTTTAAAAACAATGATAGTTTTGTGCTGTACATAGCGTTGCTTTTTAAAAAAACAACCTTCTTTCTTTTGGAATAGTTTTAGATTTGTGGAAAAGTTGCAAAGATAGAACAGAGGGCTCCTGTATACCCAGCACCCAGTTTCTCTTACTGTTAATATCTTACACTATTATGGAACATTTGTCAGAACAAAGGAGCCAACATTGATACATTACTGTTAACTCCACATTGTTACTGCTTTTATTGAAAATACATGAATGTATTTTCATAGGATTCAAATATCAGAAATACATAATGACAGAGTGCCTCTTCACTCCTACCATCCCACTTCCTATATATTTCAGAGTATTTTTTATATATTTATATACACATGTAATTATGCACACACACCCATCCATCTTATTTTAAGACATGCTTTTTTCATTTAAATATGTCTTGAAAGCTTTTTTTTTTCAGTATACCTAGATCTGCACCATTATTTTTAATGGACAACACATTGTTTTACACCCTTTTAAATATATCTTATCTATTTTAATCTAGCAGATTAAAGGTGAGGTCTGGCACACCTCCCTTTTATCTTAAAGTGGAGGTTAGAGATTATTTGCCCTCCTTTGTGGAGTACTTAGCGTATTCTAGGCACTGCCAAGCACTTAGCGTGTATTATCTAACCTAGTTATCAAAACAGTCTTACTCATAGGTATCATTATCCCTGTTAACAGATGAGGAAACTGAGGGTCAGGGAGGTTAAGTGAGCAAAAACTTTTGACGACTTTCTAGCTGAAGCAGGCTGTCTCTGGTACTTTGGGTGACATGAGCTGTTCAGCTTAGGGTGAACATTGCTTGGTTTATGGAGTCTTCCTGAGTGCCACACCTAGTGCCAGAATATGAAGGTGAAGGGTATGCTTAGGGAACTCACAGTCTTATAGCTGAGGGGAGATGTATATATAAAACAAATGATTATGTGATAAGTATTACATTAGAGTTTGTAAGATGTAAGATGGGTTTCGGATACCTTAAAAAATCCACTAGAAGTAAGGCATGTGCTTGGAACCATGGCAGAACAGATGGAAGTATAGCATCAGATTTGGCAATCAGACCCGAGTTCTAATTCTGAATATTACTGTTTAGCTGTGTGACTCTAGATAAGGCATTTAACCTCTCTGAGTTTTTGGTATTAATATCTCAAAATAGGCCAGGCACGGTGGCTCATGCCTGTAATCCCAGCACTTTGGGAGGCCAAGGCTAGCAGATCGCTTGAGGCCAGGAGTTTGAGACCAGCCTGGCCAACATGGCAAAACTCCGTCTTTACTAATAATACCAAAATTAGCTGGGATAGTGGTATGTGCCTGTAATCCCAGCTACTTGGGAGGCTGAGGCAGGATAATCTCTTGAATTTGGGAGGCGGAGGTAGCAGTGAGCCAAGATTGTGCCACTGCACTCCAGCCTGGGCAACAGAGTGAGGCTCTATCTCAAAAAAAAAAAAAAAACAAAACCTCAAAATATACTTCATATGTTTGTTAGGGTTAAGATTAAATAAATACATATAAGAAGTAGCTATTGTTGTGTTTAGTAAATATGTACATATAATGTGTTTAGTATATTTAGCATAAACGTATAATCTCTGCCACATCAGTTGCTGAGTTGAAACCTGCCTTTAAAAGTCCTTGGAAAGTTCCGGATAGAAACAAGGACAGAACGAAATCCCCCGGTCTTTTATCTCTAAGACCAAATCCTGAAGCCCTCCCTGAAATCCCCTGTGCCCTCAGTCTTTGCATCCTCAGAGCATTCTCTTAATGGGCCTCACTCCCATTTACATGTTATCCTGTTTGTGCCGTCTCTCCTCTGCAAGTACTGTTTCTCGGAGGGCAGAATCTGTGCCTTTCATTCTTGTGTCCCCTGCAATTTAATGGAAGCACATTAAATATTAGTTGTAGAACCAGATGCTGTAGAAAGGGTTCACATCCTACACCCCAAGTCAGGTGGAGCTTACATGTTATGGTTTTTGAAGAGTTTTTTTCACCTCTTCCAACCATCCTTCCCCCACTGGTTTTTTAGACGTTAGCCTTTGACACCCAAACTTGAGTTTTAACATAGAAGGGCCATTGAGCATTTTATTCAAAAAGATTTTTAATGAATTATATCTTGATATATGAGTAGTCCTCATTATGAATTAACTTAATCCTCAGGTCTTTCACTGTGAGGAAAGATTTATGTTGATATTTTCCCCCAACTTAGAAAAGCAGAACAAAACCTCAGCAGGCCTATGTCTTGTGTAGCCAGGGCAATTCTTACCAGACTGCCACAGGTTAGAGAAAATGCTGCCCATTCTTTTCCTTTCCTGCTCGTGCTTAGAGGAGGGAGCATTCTGGCAGGGATTCTGGGCCAGTGAAATTGGAATAATACTGTAAAGAAGTTTTGGTTGAAGACAAGGCTAAATGAATTAAGGGAAAGGCTAGTTTCTTAATAAGTTTCTGAGTTCGTCCTAGAAAGATTGGTAGTTAAACCATGTTCCATGTCAACCTGAACTGTCTAAATAGTAATCTTGAGAGGTATGGCAGTGTTATTTTTTTTCTCCTTCTGGAAAATCAGCTAAACTTGTTAGAGTATGTGAAAATCTACTCTCCTAGATTTGAAGAGCAGGATTCTTTTTGGAGGGCAGTTACAGAGCCACACTAGGTTTCTGCTTTTTTTTTTTTTTTTTCTTAAATAGGAGATTGCTCCCTCTTAAGAGAGCCAACGATTTAGAAAACTTAATCACAGGTTCTTCTTCCATTCACACTTAATCTGGTCATTCAGAGGCTCTTGCCCTCCCCTTCAGAGGCTGCAGCGCCTGACCTGGGGCCACGGAGGTCTTCCTCCTCAACCTTCAGAAGGTTCAAAGGGCAGGAGTGAGTCTGATTCTTTGGATAGGGGGTTGGGTTGGATCTTTTAAAATTAATTTCTGGGTGTGAACTGTAAAAGAGACGAACCAGTAGGGATTTACTCTCCTCCGTAATTTACTATTGCAGCCAGAAGCCTGATGGTTTCAGCACCCCCACCCAGAAAAAAATTTATAAAATGACCAAAATGTTACAGAAATTTATTTCATGGAGGTTGTTCATTTTATGGACAGTTGTTCCATTTTAAGCACTTTGATCACCCTCCTGATTCCCTTTTTTTTTCCTCCCCCTTTTTGGACGTCAGTTCTCTGGCATGTTTAGTGACAGAAGCAAAAGGGCTGTAGGAAATCTTTCTTCATGTAAATAAGTACCTATGTCTCTCCTCATACTTTTATTTTCCTCTGGCATTAAAATGAGAAGAGTAGGGTAGGGGACTTGGAAATCCTATCACTGCAAAAATGGTTGGCTTAGATGCCGGTGGTGGTGGTGGCAGCCAGGGAGGGAAATCAAGAGTCCTTTGCATGTGCCTGGGTGCACCTGCTTGTTTATTAGATGCGTGGCTGTAAGTCATCTGGAGTAGTGCAAATTTGTATTTTTATTGATTTGAATTCAGAGAAGGTTTTTGGTCTTAATTTAACTAATTTATTTATTTTTCATTTTAGAAATTCAATTTCAGCTTCACCCTAATTGTCACTACTAAAATCCTACATATGCAATTCTAAGCTTACCAAACTGATAAAATAAGATGACTTTATTACTTTTATTTTTTAAAATTTCTCGTTTTCCTTTTCTCTTTTCCACTTGGCTGAGGACAAATATAGATAAAATCTTGGCCTATTGAAGAGCCAGTAAAATGTTGTTTTATTTTTGTTTCTAACCTGGGATGTTTTATATCTGCAAAATGTGGTGAAGACAGACCCATTCATTAAAAACAGACTGCTCAACTGGGCACCATGGCTCACACCTGTAATCCGAGCACTTTGGGAGGCTGAGGCGGGTGGGTCACTTGAGGCCCAAAGTCCTCAAGTGACCAGCATGGTGAAAGCCTGTCTCTACTAAAAATACAAAAATTAGCTGGGCGTGGTGGCGCATGCCTGTAATCCCAGCTACTCGGGAGGCTGAGGTGGGAGAATCTCTTGAACCCGGGAGGTGGAAGGGGAGGCTGAGGTGGGAGAATCTCTTGAACCCGGGAGGCGGAGGTCGCAGTGAGCAGAGATCGTGCCATTGCACTCCAGCCTGGGCAACAAGAGCTAAACTCTGTCTCAAAAACAAAACAACAACAACAACAACAAAAACAAACACAAACCAGACTGCATAAGTCTTCGACTTCTGAGGTTTAGTCTGGAAGAAATTTCTGGTGCCATTTTAGTTTTGTCCTGCACATGGGATGTGGTTCTTTGATGCAGTTTCAGGCCTGAAGCCAAATGTGTACCTCTAGCCCGGTGAACCTCTCACCTGTTTTAGGAAATAATTTTGAGCAAATCATACTTTCTTTGAGGATCTGAAGTTTCTCAACAAAGCTTGTCTGAAGCTATGTGATGTGACGCGATGCCGATGCAGAGAGCCTGGATGAGGCTGCACAGATGTGCCCAACTGCCTGATAGCCTGACTTCTCTGAAAACCTACTAAAACCAACAGGCGGACTGTTCTTTTTTTGGACAAGAAAAAAGACCTGGCCCTTTCATATAGCACATCAAGCCTTGGTAGCAACCAGAAACTAAGTGACAAATGCAAGCTTTTAGCCCCTTTCCTTCTTGTCCCTAGACCTTCATAGTTGTAGCTTGTCAGTAGAAAGAACTTTGGCCTGGGAGTTGGGAGACTACCTGGGCTCCAGATTAGCTGAGTGACCTCGGGCAAGTCTCTTAGTGTATCCCAAGATCTTTCTCCAGAGCGAGAGAGTGGAATTTGATTCTCTAGCGGTCTCTTACCCTGGAATCCTGTATGATTCTTAGGGGTCCGTGCTACGTCTGAGGTTAGAGATCTCAGATGTGAAAGAGACTGTTTGAGGTGTCCACTTAAGAGCTGCAAACTCTATTGACCCTTGTGTCTTTCAACTGGAAAAATGAGAGCAGCTTCTACTCAAATTAAGAGGTGCCCTCAGATTCCCCTATTTAGATTCTGTGAACCAGTGATAAGTCTCCTCTTCTGTGTGATTGGTGTTGCCCTTTTGGGATGTAGACATTTTGGACTAAGGATTTAGAGATTTTTTTACCGAGACAGGATTGTATGCGTACTAAGATGTCCTTAAAGCTGGTACTTTCCCCTTTTATCACTAATGGCTGCTATTTCCAGAGCTGTGGGCTTTATCTGACCATCTTGCAGGTATGTTGAAAGATTTGACTAGCACTTAAAAGGTATGTTCAGAAAATGCTATTTTAAGTGTTTCTTCTTTACCCTATTTCCCCCTTGTTGAACAGTGCAAAACTACCAGGTTTTATGTTCCACTGGGCAGCTGCTGCTGGTCTGATGTTTTTCTCTCTGTCCCTCCTCCTCCTTCTGTCTCCCCTCCCCCGGGGGTCCTCCCCCAGTGCCTCCCCCTGCCCCATTCTTGCTCCGGTCTGAAGGGAGCTGTACCTTTGTGGTTCTTCTGCAGCTGCTGGACTTTGATGGGGACATGCTTGCTGCCTCTACACTTGCTTCCCTTAGCAACCGATCCTTTGACGATGACCTCTTGCTGTTTGCCTGTTGTCTCTCATGTTGGATTATAGATGAGAGATTTACCAGGCTGGGGGTAGAGGCCTGCTGTTAGCACATTTCTTTTAGGGTTCCCAGCGTCCCTCAGCCTGTGTTTTCTCTCTCTAAAATATGAGGTTTGGAGAGGGTGCATGTGTGTTTATGTGTGGCGGGGATATTAGTGCCGAATCAAACAGTTTTAAGTTCATAGGGTTGTCCTAGTTGTGAGCTAATTTTGAAGTAGATGCTGTGGTGGTTACTGAAGCTACTTGATTTACTTCTCATTTTTATTATAATGTGATTAACACACATGGGGGGGGAGGGGTGCCATTTGTTCCTCTTTACACTTTCCAAGTGTTTGTGTGTTGGCACTAAACTTGTTTCCTGGTGTAATCTGAGCTCTGAGAATTGCCAAATTACCTAAATCTCCACACATTTTAACACATTTATTTTCTCCCAAAGCATTAAGTTTTTGTTTTATTTAAAGTAGCAGTATTCCTGGACATGTGGCTCTTATTTTGCATGGACAGCTTATGATGTTCCGTGTGTAACTAGTTTGTGCATTTCTGTTTAGCTCGGTGGATTTGCCTTGGACAAATTAGGGACAAGGACATTGTGGGACAGCAAGAATTCCAAAAGAACCCCGGATTAAGGCCAAAAAGGAAAAAAAAAAAAGCCATTTTTAAAGCTACCCAAAGAGGAGAGTCTAAAATAAAATTAGCAATCATTTTTATAAAAAGATACAAGAAAATAGATATTTACACACTGCTGGTGGGGAGGGTGGCTTGTAGCAGTACAATGTATCAAGAGTCTTAAAAATACTCATACCCCGGCTAGGTGCAGTGGCTCACACCTGTAATCCCAGCACTTTGTTTTGTTTGATTATATAGTCTTTGGGGGAACATTTTTTTTTTCTAAGTCTTCACAGTTTAGAGGAGAGCTACTTAAAGATTTCATTATATAAACTTACTACTTTGGCTGAGTGCAGTGGCTCACACCTGTAATCCTAGCACTTTGGGAGGCTGAGGCGGGCGGATCACGAGGTCAGGAGATTGAGACCATCCTGGCTAACATGGTGAAACCCCGTCTCTACTGAAAATATGAAAAATGCCGGGTGCGGTGGCTCACGCCTGTAATCCCAGCACTCTGGGAGGCCGAGGCAGGTGGATCATTTGAGCTCAGGAGTTCGAGACCAGCCTGGCCAACATGGCGAAACCCTGTCTCTACTAAAAATATAAAAATTAGCCGGGCGTGGTGGCGCACGCCTGTAGTCCCAGCTACTCAGGAGGCTGAGGAAGGAGAATCACTTGAACCCAGGAGGCAGAGGTTGCAGTGAGCCAAGATTGTGCCATTGCACTCCAGCCTAGGTGACAAAGCGAGACTCCATCTCAAAAAAAAAAAAAAAAAAAGATTAGCGGGGGTATGGTGGCACACACCTGTAGTCCCAGCTACTCTGGAGGCTGAGGCAGGAGAATTGCTTGAACTCAAGAGGTGGAGGTTGCAGTGAGTCAAGATCGTGCCACTGCACCCCAGCCTGGGCAACAGAGCGAGACTCCGTCTCCAAATAAATAAATAAATAAATAAATAAATAAATAAATAATAATAATACTCATACTCCTTGACTCAACAGTTTTTCTTCTAGGAGTTTATCCTTAAAAAAAGTTTAAGATGGGCTGCGTGCAGTGGCTTATGCCTGTAATCCCAGCACTTTGGGAGGCTGAGGTGGGTGGATCACTTGAGCTCAAGAGCTCAAGACCAGCTAGCAACAGAATGAGACCCTGTCTCAAAAAAAAAAAAAAAGTCAAAGATGTGTATCTCAAGACTTACAGGTAAGGATGTTCACTAACATGTTATTCGTAATAGAAAATTACTAACAATATCTAACAATAAAGGGCTAGCTAAATGATAATATTTTTGTTCTTATAGTAGAGTACTGTGCAGACATCTAGATTGTTTGAGGATACTTAATGTCAGGGGAAAATGCTCATAAGTGAAAAAAGCAGAATATTAAGCAATGTGTCATATGATCGTAATTTAAAAAGAAGGACCGGGCACGGTGGCTCACACCTGTAATCCCAGCACTTGGAGAGGCCAAGGAGGGTGGATGGCTTGAGCCCAGGAGTTCAAGACCAGCCTGGGCAACATGGCAAAACCCGTCTCTATTTTTTTTTTTTTTTCTTTTTTAAGACGGAGTCTTGCTCTGTGGCCAGGCTGGAGTGCAGTGGTGCGATCTTGGCTCACTGCAACCTCCACCTCTCGAGTTTAAGCGATTCTTCTGCCTCAGCCTCCTGAGTAGCTGAGACTACAGGGGGGCACCACCACGCTGAGCTAATTTTTGTACTTTTAGTAGAGACGGGGTTTCACCATGTTGGCCAGGATGGTCTCGATCTCTTGACCTCGTGATCTGCCCGCCTCGGCCTCCTGAAGTGCTGGGATTATAGGCATGAGCCACTGTGCCCGGCCCCATCTCTATTTAAAAAAAAAGAATTGTGTGGCATACACAGAAAAAGAATGAAATTCTATCCACAATCTGTCTCTTTGGTAATGGGATTTTTAGTGCTTTCATTTTCTTCATATTCCAAGTTCTTCAGTGGTCAGGTATCACAGATTGTGTATCCTTAATCTGAAAATCTGAAATTTGAAATGCTTCAAAATCTGAAACTGTTTGAGTGCTGACATGCTCAAAGGCAATGCTCATTGGAGCATTTCAGATTTTCAGATTAGGGATGCTCAACTGGTCCGTATAATGCAAATATTTGAGGATCTGGTCCCAAGCATTTCGGATAAGGGACACCCCAGCCTGTAGTTTTATAAGTTGAGAAAACTTTTGTTTTAATTGACTCTTCACCCCCCGAAAATTATTTTGAGAATATTTTGTCTAAAGCTAAGGACTTAATAGATGAACCAAGACAATGACTTTTCTCTGTGTTTCTTCTTGTTGTTGTTAGAATGTGTTTGTGGGTTTGTGCTTTTTAAAATTAAAGCCCCCTTTTTTCTTTGTGTGAGAGATGGCTTTGGGGTTTTTAAGTTGCAGTGTTATCTGAAGGAAGTTATATCGCTTAGCAGGAACTCAGTACAATAATGTGTCATCCTTCTGTAATCATGTAATGATGCCTGACTTCAAAATGACTTACTAGTATTTGGGAATTGGTGTTTGGACTGGTTGTTTATGAGAAAGTCCAGGTAGACCGTCCATTTACTAAATACGGACGAATGGCAAGGGACTTGGGAGCTTTCTGTTTGATGGTGGTTGAAATCACTAGTTATGGATGCCATCTTTATTTGGAAATGTTTGTAATTTGGGAAGAATGAGAAGTGTTAGCAGATGATGGTTCTATGAACAGTTTGTCTAGGAGCATCAGAGTGGGAGGAGGGTGTTCTGGGGACTGGGGAGTGGGTTTCATTTGTGTTTGGCAGTAGCTGGTGATGGCTGTTGATAGTTGAAAGATCTATGGTCTCTGTTGAGGAGTACTTGACCATGAGGTTGGTTGAGTGAGGAGGTGAGTAGCTATGAGATCACAACCTGACAGGCCTTACGCTTCCTCAGCCTTCACTGTCAACAATTGCTTGGGAAACCTGTAAGAATGGGGAGAAGAGAAATATAGCAGCCATATCTTGGGCAGGTATTGAGAGGGTAGTTCAAAATGTTGGAATATGGGTAAAACTAGAATGCTGCACTTCTATTGGGCTCATCATTTGGGAGAGACTAGTGAGGGTAGAGTTGGTTCTCTTAAGTTGGTTTAGTCTTTTAACACTTTATTTTGAATCCTTTAAATAAGCACATATGGGAATGCACAGGTAGATAGAATTTTCTTCCACTGATAACTTGCTATCAGCCATGTATTACTGAGTAGTATTTCATTGTGTGGATATACCACATTTTATGTATCCACTCTTCAGTCAGTAGGCATTTGGGTTGTTTTCACTCTGTTTATTATGAACAATGCTGCTATGAATGTTCATGTACAGCTTATGGACATGTTTTCATTTCTCTTGGGTATATACTTAGGAGCGGAATTGCTGGGTCATATTTGCCACTCTGTTTCATGTCTTGAGGAATTGCCAGACTGTTTTCCAACATATCTATACCATTTTACATTTCCCATCAGTAGTGTATGAGGATTCTAATTTCTCCATACCCTCTCTAATACTTGTTATTATTTATATTCTTTTTATTATGGCCATCCTATATTAGCAGGTATGAAGTGATATCTCATTGTGGTTTTGGTTTGCACTTCCCTCATGCCTAATGACGTTGAGCATCTTTTCATGTACTTATTGGCCATTCATATACCTTCTTTGGAGAAATGCCTGTTTAGATCATTTGTCCATTTCAATTGGGTTACTCATTTTGTTATTGAATCATAAGGGTAGTTACACTTTTAAAGTGTTGGATCACAAAGAGATTTGCCATCTGAGAAGTTAGAATCAAACATTTAAAATTCATTTAAGAATGGTTAAAAACACATTACATGTTAACAAAAATAACTTTTTTTTTTGAGATGGAGTATTGCTCTGTCACCAGGTTGGAGTGCAGTGGCGTGATCTCGACTCACTGCAATCTCCGCCTCCTGGGTCCAAGTGATTCTCCTGCCTCAGCCTACCAAGTAGCTGGGACTACAGGCGTGTGCCACCACACCCAGCTAATTTTTGTATTTTTAGTAGAGACGGGGTTTCACCGTGTTGGTCAGGATGGTCTCAATCTCTTGACCTTCTGATCCGCCCACCTTGGCCTCCCAAAGTGCTGGGATTACAGGTGTGAGCCACTGCGCCTGGCTACAAATAACGTTTTTTATTTAAAAAAAAATTTTTTTAAAAAAGATGTGGTCCTGCTCTGTCGCCTAGACTGGAGTGCAGTGGCACAATCATAGCTCCATGCAGCCTTGAATTCCTGGGCTCAAGTGATCCTGCTGCCTTAGCCTCCCAAGTAGCTGGGACTACAGGCATGTGCCACCATGCCTGGCTATTTAAAAAAAATTTTTGTAGAGACCGAGTCTTGCTTTGCTGCCTAGGGTGGTCTCGAACTCTTGGCTTCAAGTGATCCTCCCACCTTGGCCTCCCAAAGTGCTGGGATTACAGGTGTTGGCCCAGCAAGCCTGGCCTAAAATATCTTTTTGTTTTAGAAAATATAGTGAGAAAAATGGCCTTGTTTTATATATTTGCAAATCTCTTTAATGCCTGGCTTAGTAAGACAGTTGGATTCTTGCATCCACTTCCGTACCTAGTCTGTTGCAATATGCTTTGGTTGAAGTATAACTAAGAAAATCTAGCCTTACACAGATATGTAGTTGGAAAAGGGAGGAGTATTTTATAGCCTGTTAAGATATTAGTAATTATGAGTATTCTTTGATACTATATCTAAACTGGACAAGAGGTAGTTTCTGAAAGATTAGTTGCAATGTAGAATCTGAAACCATGTCAATGAACTATTCCTACTGTTTCACTTTGAAATCTATTGGTCTCTGTTGCATTTTGAATGGATCTTTTACTAATGAATGATTTTGTATTATCATCTCATGCATTGGTCATTTAGAAAATATTGATTCACTTAGTCATGTAGCTCTTCCAAATACTAACATTTCATTATACAGTACTTAAAAATTCACATTTAATTAATTAATTAATTATTTTTGAGGTGGAGTTTCGCTCCTGTTGCCCAGGCTGGAGTGCAATGGCGTGATCTCGGCTCACTGCAACCTCTGCCTTCCGGGTTCAATCAATTCTCTTGCCTCACCCTCATGAGTAGCTGGAATTACAGGCACGCGCCACCACGCCCAGCTAATTTTGTATTTTTAGTAGAGACGGGTTTCACCATGTTGGTCAGGCTGGTCTCGAACTCCTGACCTCAGGTGATCCATCTGCCTCGGCTTCCCAAAGTGCTGGGATTACAGGTGTGAGCCACAGCACCCAGCCTATTTATTTATTTTTGAGTCAGGGTCTGACTCTGTTGCCCAGGCTGGAAGGCAGTGGCATGAGCTAGGCTCACTGCAGCCTCTACCTCCTAGACTCAAGTGATCCTTCCACCTCAGCCTCCAAGTGTCTAGGGCTTTAGCTGCATGCCACTGTGACCAGCTATATTTTTTTATTTTTTTTTTATACTGATGGGGTTTCACCATGTTGCCCAGGCTGGTCTCAAAACTCCTGAGCTCAAGCAATCTTTCCACCTTGACCCCACAAAGTGCTGGGATTAAGCGTGCACCACTGTGCCCGGCCAAAAATTCACATTTGTTCCCAACAGAAAAGTCTCTAAGTATCAGGATTCTGTCAGACTCATAGTGATAGGTACACATTTCCCAAAAGTTTAATTTTTGCTTGAGAGTTCAAGTTTTATCATTGGCAAAAAATATTATCAATTGTTTCCTTGAAGTGTTAGTCTCATTTCATTCCTTTTTGAGAAAATGCCTGCCCTGCACTCATCTATATAACTGTACTTTAAGGTCAGTTACTCGTTTAAGTAAAAATGGTGTTCCGTGAAAAAAGTTGACTAGTTTGGCTTACAGCTAACAATCACACAAGTATTTTGTCTTGAGGCAACCACTGTGCTTTGGTATGCAGCAGAAGTGCTTTATGCGTATTTAACCATTTCGCCACGCAGAATTTTTTTTTTAATGTACTCAAGGGTTGAGATTTAATAAACTTAATAGTTTTTATTGCTTCATCTGCATTGCTTCATCAACATTCTTAAGGAAACTTTTATTTCAATTCCAAGTATACAATGATCAAGAGTGCAGTTTGGTGTCACTGCTGTAATTCTTGCAACAGTTTTTCCCACCACTGCTTTTGTACATGAATCAGTGCAAATGTCAGCAGACTGTAAAAGGCTAATAATGTCTTTGTGTTATTACAAAAATGGTTTTGCCCTCACAGATTACCTGAAAAGGTTGAAGGACAAACCTCCACCCACCGCCCCCTGCCCTGGGCTTGCAGATGGGATGAGAACCACTGGGCTAGACAGCATTTAATGGAAATGGGGATAAAATTGTTTTGAAGGTGCTTGCTGCTCTGTTGTCTGAGACTGGTAGCATAAACTTGCATGGTGATAGCAGCAAAATGTGTATAGTGTTGTGTACCTTGTTGCGTTGTTCTTTCCAGTCTTTAGCAATATGCAAAATCACAAAGCACTAACCACTGAGACTCCTTTGAAAATAAACTGCTTCCTCATTTTCTTCTTCCTTTCCTTTCCTTTCTAACAAGAAAAGCACCTCTTCACCACCTACCTTGCAAATGTGCTGTTTCCCTTATTTCATGTTTTGAGTTTTAAAAAGACAGTGGCTCTTTAGGGCCTTCCTCCATATCTCTGTTTCTGAGGATACTCCTTATACTTAGAACGCTTGACTGATGTCTAGTTCAGGCCCAGGCCAGTGGCTGGCAATGACCTCATTCTTGCCATGTAAATCCTTACTGAATGGCATGAGACTCCAACTTAGCAGTTCATGGAATTGTAAGGTGAGCCCAGTTTCCCAGCCAATTATGACTCCATCTAAAGCCGTAGCTGGGCCATTAATGTATTTTGCGCCTTGTCCTCTTTTATATCTTGCCAAACTCTGAGAGTCTACTGTATAGCTACTGGCAACAGGCCTCTGCCAAAACAGTCTATGAATGTATCATTTTACACCTCATTTTTCCTTGTTTCCCCCTGTGATGGCACCTTGCCTGTGTTTCTCTCTCCCACATCTTTCTACCCACTTAAAAAAATTATTCATTTAACTTATTCCTTTATTGTGGTATTATAGACTTTTGGCTTCTGTAGTTATTTAGTGTGAAAGAGATACTGAAGAATGAAAATGCTAATATCTTCTTATAGCGCCCTTCCTTTTTCAACCACTAGTGGTTCTCCTAAGGGCCCTCTTCTGGGTTGAATTGTGTCCCCCCAAATTTATATGTTGAAACCCTAACTCCCAGCACCTCAGAATGCGACCTTTTTTGGAGATTGAGTCTTTACGGAGGTAATCAAGTTCAATTAAGGTCGTCAGGGTGGGCCCTAATCCAATATGACTGGTGTCCTTATTAAAAGGGGAAATCTGGACATATGCACACACACCAGGAACGTGCCAAGTGAAGATGGAGGCAGTGATTGGGGTGATGATTCCACAAGCCAAGAAACACCAAAGACTGCCAGCAGCCCACCAGAAGCTAGGGGAGAGGTGTGGAACAGATTCCCTCATAGCCCCCATAAGGAATCAACCCTGTCGACATCTTGATTTTGGACTTCTAGTCTCAACTGCAAGATGACAAATTTCTTTTTTACCCAGTTTATGGTAGTTCGTTAAGGCAGCCCTGGGAAATGAATACCAACTCAAAGCTGACTGCTGTCTCCCATGGCCCTGTGGTTCTCTTGCTCACCTTGGACCTTTGTTCTACAGGTCACACCACGGCTGGTCTCCCAGGGTGACCTGTGCGCCTGCCATGTAAGGTTCCTCCTCAGAGCAGTGCTCTGTGACTGCTCACGCTAATGAAGAATGCAAGGTTGAGGACTGTGTTTTCTGGAAAGATGGATAGAGATGGTTTAGGGACTCAGAGATAGGCGACTCCATGTACCTGCTCCCATCCCGTTTGCATGTACCTCTTCCCCTGTGTTGATGAGAGGTATTAAAATCCTGCTGGCCTCCACTTGCTCCTCTTCCCCGTGGAGCAAGGAGCACTGAGCCAGCATGGGTATATCTGGCTTTCTTTTCTCCGAGTGCATTCTCCATGGGACCCTCCTGCGGGTTCCCAGCTGACCGCTGGTTTGCACCACACAGCCAGGAGAAGTGGCCAAGAAAAGCGAGCTGCTGGATGGAATGCTCAGGGCCCCAAAACATTACTCTTCGTGATAGTTTGGTTCTTGCCAGGATGTCCTTGTAAAACTTTTATGAAGATGTTGTTGTACTTGCATTGGAGGTTGAAAATTGCTGTTAACCTTGCTAAGTCCCATGTCCCCCAGGAATGTGGAACGCTATGGAAATGCTCTGGCCCTCCCTTCTGGACGGGTGCTCCACTGCAGCAGCTGCCTGCACAGAAAGTTGAGCTGGCTGGCTGGATTAAGGGACATCAGCTAGGCCTTTGTTTAAAAATATTTAAAATATGTTTGAACCTCCCTTTATCAACAAAGAACAGTTTCTTTCAGCAGAGAGAAGTTTTTCATTTCCATGTTTTTTTTTTTTTTTTAACCATTTTGTTTGGTTCTTTTGTATATTAGCAACTTTGGAAAAGTGTTCCCATTCACAGTTTGAAAGCCAAGTATAAAAGGTATTGCATCGTTATTTTCTATTTTGCTTAAGAGAAAAGAGCAGTTTGCTTCTATTAAGAACATAATGTTTATGAAGATAATCTTCTGGCTTGAGTTAATTTTTTTCTGGTGTCGAGCTTTGACAGTTAAAAAGCAAGAATGTGTTTGCGAATGTATTTAAAACATCTCTGGAATTAGGAGTTTATGAAGGTATATTAGGTAATGAGAATGAGCTTTGGAAGTTACAAAGAAATAAAAGAGGTTCCTGTGTCTGAGTCTGCTGGTATGAGAGCCAGGAGTATTAACCTATGGAGAGTCCTTGACTATTAGGTCTTTTGAGTTAAGTTTCAGGATAAGGCAGCATTTTTCTAAAATCCAGGTTTTCCCTTGCCTGCCTTTGTGATGATCACAGTGTGTATCAGGTTTCTGCTTAACTTCAGATCTTCTTTGGGTATCTTCCCAGTGTTATTAGAAACCTGAGATATTTCCCTACTTACTTGCAGGAGGAGCCAGCATGTTGCATAACTGCAGGGGCCCCATTCATCTTAGAGTGTGGATTAGACCAGGGTGTCAAGGGCCCTAGGCAGCGTGCAGTGCTATGTGCAGGTGCTAGCAGGGAAGGCATGGTAGGTGAAGGTTCCTGTTTCTTGGGTGCATTAATATGGAATTACTTTTCAAAACGTATCCTAGCCATACCCTTGTTATTCCATGTTTTTAAACCAGATCATTCATCTTGAGGAGTACTCGGCCAACTCTAGGTACGGCTTTTCCTCCAGCCCCTCAGCCACTGCTTGACAGAGTTGTGAGGCCACAGCCTGTGAGAAATCAATCTGGAGAATTATTAGTTGTCTCTTAAGTTGCTTTAAAATCGCCTGGAGGCCAACCCTGAAGTTTAGGAAAAGAGTGTGCTTGTGTTTCTCCTGTTGACTTCTTTCTCCTCCAAGTGTTCTTGTCCTTCAGTTGACTCTGGAGACTGGAATATGAGTAAAGAACATGAAAGGGACTTTAGTTAAACATTAGAACCTTTCAAGTTTCAGGGCTTCAACTGAGCTTAGTGACATGCCATCAACGACCAAGGTTCCCATATATCCTGAAAGGATATTTCTCTAAGGCCAGTTAGGCATCAATCATTAATCAGACACTTTACAAATGGTACTTATATTAGGTTGAATCTTATGACCTTGCCATTTTTGTAGATCAGAAATTGTTGGATATTGGCAGTTTCCCATGGTTTTACCTGGAGTACTCTGGAGAGGCCATGTAGCATTGTGCTTCAGAATAGGGACCTGGGACCTGTGGGCCTTGTGCTAGGCTGGAATTTTCACCTTGGCACTTATTTGTATGTGACACTGGACAGGTCACCCACTGCCATTGACTGCCATTGATTGCTCTGAAAATGGGGCGATTGTGGTTCCACACCATAGGGTTGTTTTTAAGATTAAATATGTCCATGTATATAAAGCACCTAGGACAGGGCCTGGCACACGGCTCACTCTGTGTGTGTTTTTTTTCATGACTTCTTCATTCTTAGGACCTTCACAGTTTCTGCCATATCTGCGTGCCAGCTGTGTAGTCATTGTCTTGGTCAGCACAGGCTGCTGTAACAAAATACCATGGACTGTGTGGTTAAACAGACATTTATTTCTCATAGTTCTAGGTGCTGGAAGTCTGAGATCAGGGTGCCAGCATGGTCGGGTTCTGGTGAGGGCCCTCTTCCTGGCTCACAGAGCTGTCTTCTTGCTGTATCCTCCTGTGGCGAAGAAAGTGTGAGTGAGTGAGCAAGCTCTCTGGCATCTCTTCTTAGAAGGGTACTAATCTCATCATGATGGCCCTGCCCTCAGGACCTTATCTAATCTTAATTACCTCCCAAAGACCCCACGCATCTCCAAGTGCATATTGGGGGAGTTAGGGCTTCAAAATATGACTTTTGGGGAGACCCAATTCAGTCCACAGCAGTCATTTATTTAGTGTTTTTCTTTAAAAGTGACAGTTTTTAAAACAGGAATAACTTATCTTGTTGATTCTTGGATGCTTTTCTTGTTTTTGTATATCATCTCTGAAATTAGAATGTCTTTTTTTTTTGAGTCACTCTGTTGACCAGGCTGGAGTGCAGTCCATGACCATGGCTCACCACAGCCTCTACCTCCTGGGCTCTAGCAATCCTCCTGAGTAGCTGGGACTACAGGTGTGTGCCACCATGCCCAACTAATTTTTGTATGTTTTATAGAGACAGGGTTTCACCGTGTTGCCCAGGCTGGCCTTGAATTCCTGGGCTCAAGGGATTCTCCCACCTTGTCCTCCCACAGTGCTGGGATTACAGGCGTGAGCCACCATATGCTGGGCACTGTGGGATAATATCTTAAAATCTGTGAAATGTCCTGGTTTAATTTTTTTCTTGTCCACTAAAAGATATAATGGCTGATGGCATCACAGGTTTGGTGGAAAATGGTATTTTTGGTGTTTTTTTTTTTTTGTTTTTTTTTTTTGAGACAAGGTCTTGTTCTGTCGCCCAGGCTGGAGTACAGTGGTGCAATCATGGCTCACTGCAGCTTTGACCTCCTGGGCTCAAATGATCCTCCTGCCTCACCCTCTGGAGTAGCTGGGTCTACAGGCACGTGCCACCACACCCAGCTAATTTTTTAAAATGTTTTGTAGCGATGGAGTCTTGGTGTGTTGCCCAGGCTGGCCTTGAACTCCTGGGATCACTCAAGTGATCCTCCTTCACCAGCCTTCCAAAATGCTGGGATTATGGGGATGAGCCACCATGCTGAGCCCCTTTAAAATGGTAGTTTTTTAAAGGAAATATTATCAAGAGTTTGTGCTAGTTATGTTTTTCCAACCCATGTTAAAATGAATAAATGTCTGTTGTTTTAAAAAGTCCTCCTGTGTACCACCTTGCAGCCTCTGTGGATCAGCAGTGGACTCCTGGCCTACCCTCTGGGAAACATGAATGTGGTGTATAGTTTTTGGATCATGTTTTGTGGAGCAGCATCCTCACTCAGCATAGCTGTGCTTTGGTTGGTCTCACGCACTGAAGTGTTACTTAAGGTTTGGATTATGGGAAGGACTTTTACTACTAAAGACGTTGGAAAACCATATGTTTTGGGAGGCTGAGGTGGGAGGATCACCTGAGCCCAGGAGTTCAAGACCAACCTGGGCAACATAGCGAGACCCTGTCTCTATTAAAAAAAAAAAAAAGAGCCAGGCATGGTGGCTCGTGCCTGTGGTTCCAGCTACTTGGGAGGCCTAGGTGGGATGATCACTTGAACCCAGGAGGTCCGGGCTGCAGTGAGCCAGGTTCACATCACTGTACTCTGGCCTAGATGACAGAGTGAGACCTTGTCTCAAAAGAAAACCACATCAGTAAGCCATCTTCTCGTTTGCCTCACTAACATCCTGTTGAGGTGTCCCACAAACCAAACAGGATGTGGGGGTGCGGAGGATTATCCCCTCTAGGAGCAAGTTGCCCCATCTGGTTGAGGGAGAGGTGGTTCTGTCACCAGTAGAGCATGTTGAGTGCTGCAGAGATGGCTGGCGACGGGGATGTCTGGCCTGGCAGATGTCACCTTCAAGGAGGGAGTGTGCTCATTGCAGGCTGCTTTCTGGGATGGGAGTAGGCTAGTAATGTGATGTGTGGGGCCTTCCCTGAAATAGAAGGCACTGGACAGGCATGTAGTATGGATAAGGTAGAGAGGGTGATGGATAGTTTTGGCTTTCCTTGTGAGGTGGGCATGCTGGTGGCATGTTTTAGATTTTCCGAATGGCCTTTGTTTCCATTTCCTTTTTTTTTTTTTTTTTTTTTTTTAAAGCTGCATCCTTTTGCATCGAATGAAACCCCATCAAGGGCATCTCCTAACTCTTCTTCCATTCTCTTGTCCAGGGCTGGTGTTTTTTGTGTGTTTGTGACTGACAATGCAGCATGGAGAATTTGGAGAAGCTAGTTTTGCCTTTTCTCCTACAGGAAGAGGGACTCGTCTGCAAAGAAAGGGGTCTGCCTTTCAGTCCTTTGAAGCCACCTGGTCTGACAAAGACAGTTTCCCTGTCCCTTTTTGGACCTTGAGCTGAGCAAAAAATTACTTAGTTGCTGAAAGCAGGTCAGTGTAGAGGACTTCCTCTACTCCTGCTTTGACTTCATCTGCAAGAGAGCTGAGAACTGAGTGAGGCATTTCTGCTTCTTGAGACTTCTCTTGGTGTGGCAGGGCTTCCTGTCCAGGAGGGGCTCCATTGCCTCATGCCCTGGGTATAAACAGTCCCAGAGGGCTTTGGAATCAGCCTGGGTCAATTCTGGAGGAAAAATAAGGCCTAATAAGCATGGCTCTTTTCCCAAAATGTAGCCACAGGGGTCTAAGCAGCTGATTGTGGGGTCCAGGGCCACCAGGAGTCTTGGCTGGCCTAGCATATCTTGATTTGTTAAGAAGGTGGATATGAATTCAGTCTAGAGAAGATAACGTGCCTATTGTGCAGAATGCAGGGCTTTTTGTTCAAGGCTGTCTCCATTTGGAAGTAGAATGACAAAGCAGTGTAGATTTACACAGAGCATCTCTGAGTCTGTTACAACCCTTAAGTTTTATGGTTTCGAGCCAGGACAGTACTTCTTACATTCTGTCTTTGTCAAGGGCTTTTGTAGTCCTGAGATTTTACTGTGGTGCACTGGTTATGAGATGAGACTCATAGTTACAAAATTCCAAACTGAGGATTATCATCTAGAACCACTCCACAGTTGGATCCTTGGCCTCACTCTTCACTGTGTCACTCACAGCACCTGTCACAATGCATGTATGTTACCCAGAGGGTGCCCAGTAAATTTACTGAACGAGTTTCTAAACTTCCAAATTGCTTTCTGATTGGATAATAATGACAGTTTTTGTTTTGTTTTGTTTTGTTTGAGACAGAGTCTCGCCCTGTCGCCCAGGCTGGAGTGCAATGGCATGATCTTGGCTCACTGCAACCTCCGCCTTCCAGGTTCAAGCAATTCTCCTGCCCCAGCCTCCCAAGTAGCTGGGACTACAGGCACACACCACCATGTCCAGCTAATTTTTTGTATCTTTAGTAGAGACGGGGTTTCACCATGTTGGCCAGGCTGGTCTCAAACTCCTGGCCTTGTGATCCGCTCGCCTCGGCCTCCCAAAGTGCCAGGATTACAGGTGTGAGCCACCACGCCCGGCCAATGACTGTTCTTTTTGAGACCTTGGACATTACACTGAATCCAGTGAAGTTTCTTGAGACTGTACCGTGATTAGGGGTGGGAAATAAATGTTGTGTGCAGTTTTGGATCTGGAGAACTTTGTGGGAGTGAAGAGCCAAGAAGGATGCTTTGAAAAGCATAACTCTTGCTGGGCGCGGTGGTTCAAGCCTGTAATCAATCAGCACTTTGGGAGGCCGAGGCGGGCGGATCACAAGGTCAGGAGATCGAGACCATCCTGGCTAACACGGTGAAACCCCGTCTCTACTAAAAATACAAAAAAATTAGCCGGGCGTTGTGGCTTGTGCCTGTAGTCCCAGCTACTCGGGAGGCTGAGGCAGGAGAATGGCGTGAACCCAGGAGGCAGAGTTTGCAGTGAGCTGAGATTGCGCCACTGCATGCCAGCCTGGGCAACAGAGCGAGACTCCGTCTCAAAAGAAAAGCATAACTCTTCTCTTCTGTCCACTTGTTAATAACAGCTAAGGTTGCAATTCATGGAACAATGAGTTTTGTCTTTTCTGAAACTTAGTAACCACTTGGTCTATCAACAACTATTTGAGTAGTCCACTGGGCAGGCAATAAAGCAGTGATCAGTAGATTTGGAGATGGATAAAACAGTTGGTTTTCTCTCACTCCCCTCCTTTAGGGGAGGGAAAGGTATATGATACAGTGATTAAGAGCATTAACTGAGGTGGCGGGCGGTGTTAGAGTGTCTTTTTGAACATGGGTCCAGCTGACTGTTTCTTTGGGTCTATGACCTCCTGAGCCCAGGTTCCTTATCATCCCATGGGGCAGTAATCACTCTCCTGCCCACCTCACAGGGAGGAAGTGGATGTGACCTGAATTATGAGTTGTAAAGACCGAACACTGGAAATGATTGCCACTGACGGAGAGAGGGTATAAGAGTGGCCCTTTTGGAGTACAGAGGACACCAGGAGCCTCAGGCTCATGACTGGCCTCATTTGGTTCTCCTCCCCTCCTTGTGTACCAATCACCCAAGGAAGGTGATTCATTAGACTTCATTAGACATACTTCCCAGTTCAGCTTCTGTCTTAGCTCAGAGTAAACAAGTGACTCTCTGTTCAGAACCGAATGAATTGCATCTGGTACTTTTAGTCCTTGCGTCTTACAGCAAAGATTAAATGGTACTCTGGAGGCTTGGCAAGATGAGACTCACTTCATCAGCAGAGAAGAATGGAGTCACTTGGGAGGGAGCACCCGTTCTGGTATGAAATTTCTCCTGATCACAAGTGCTTGTGAAAATTAACCTTTTGCATACTCTCATCCTTCTCAAGGAAAGGCTGAATTGCTTCTCAAGTTTTGTCCTGCAGCCTTGGGTGAGAATTCTGGTTTTGTTGCAAAGCTAGAGCTCAGAAACAAGAAAGTACAAGGCCATTTTTCTTGGAGGAAGAAGGCAGGCAGCTCAGCTTGCATGAGCATCTGACCCAGCAGCCCATGGCTCCCTTTGTGGGAAGTGTCCCCTTAGCTGTGGAACCCAGGTGGGTAGGTGAACACCTCACCTTATGACTGCCACACCTTATGACTGCCCATTAGCTGCTGCGCCTCCTCTCCTCCTTCTCTTTTCTTCTGTCTTTCTGGAGGAATAGTCTAGTTCGGGTTGGAGATGAACCTCTGGCCTGGGAAGACCTCTTTCAAATAAGATTATGCCCATCTGTGGCTTAAGAAGTTACTCATTCACCAAGGCACATGCTTGTGTCTAGAAGTAATACCATCATGTTACCACAGTAATATTAAGTAGAACATACACAAGTGCCATTTTTGTAAATAAAATCAGGAAACTAGCCATTTCATATGGTAATTCCCAGTAACTCTTGAGAATCTTGAGTTGTGATTTCTGTCATGTAGACAAGTATGATGGACCGAATATTCATTTCATTTCTCTACCAAATTCTTGTGTTGAAGCCCTAACTCCCACGGTGGTGGTATTTGGTGATGGGGTCTATGGGAGGCAGTTAGGGTTAGATGAGGTCAAGAGGGTGGGACCTTCACAGTGGGCTTAGTGCCCTTATAAAAAGGGACACCAGGGAGCTTGCTCTCTCTTTCTCCCCTTGTATGCACAAAGAACAGGTCATGTGAGCATGCAGGGAAATGGTGGCCACCACAAGCTAAGAGAAGAGGCCTCAGAGTGAAACCTGCCTCAGTGGCACCTTGATCTTGGACTTCCCAGCTCCAGAACTGTGAGAAAATAAGTTTCTGTTGTTTAAGCCTCCCAGTCTAGGGTACTTTGTTATGATAGCCTGAGCAGACTGAGATACTTAGTTCAGATAGAAAGTGAGAAGCTAATTTGAATATGTTCTTTATCTGTTCTTGGCCTGTTTTCTTTGGTCTGGGCAAGTCATTTTCAAGGTGTTCTGTGAAGTTCATCTTCATCAGAATCACCTGGGAAGCATGTTAAAAAACCAGAGTCTGGGTCCCAACCCCAGAGATTCTGATGGGAGTTATATGTGTGGCTGGACTGTGCATTTTTCGTTTATGTTTTTTTCTTTGAGATAAACTTTACATGGAGTGAAATGTACAAATCCTAAGTGTACTGTCTCATGGGTTTTTAATAAATGAGTCCCTTTGTGAGACCCAACCCCTGTCAAGATAGAGAACAACATGACCATCAGCCCAGAAAGTTCCCTGGTGTCCCTTCCCAATCAGTCCCCACTGGGGATCTTCAGTGGCATCCCAGAGCTGTTTGCTATGGTGGCAGTAGCTGGAGAGCTACTGTTAATTAATTTGAGCAACAGTGCAGCTGATAAATTTGATCTAGCAGGGAGGTCTGGGACTGCCATCCTGAACTCAAGGTTCTCAAATCCTGTAGCTCTTGGGTCATATTGATAGGGGCTATATTTTTAAAAAGGGATAGTTGGGCAGCTGGTTGGAAGGAAATGGCAATGAGTTCATCTTTGGGCCTGTTTACTGCCCCCTTTTGAAACTGGGTCGTTTCCAGTTCCGAGTGGGGAGGCTGCATTGTTGTTCTGAGTCTCAGATTGGAGCCCATTACCTGCCAGGCTCCTGCTCATTCTTACTTCCTCTTGGAGGGATCCCCAGCAATTCCAATTCCACTAGTAGGGTTTCCCAGCCGATCACTCTTCCCTGGCTGTTCTCAGTCATTCTAAGTGTAGAAGCTACATCATCCTTGGCTTCTGCCTAGTGGCTCACTTAACCACATCATCTCAATTTATCATGTTGCTGTTTATCTTTTTAACATAAAGTTTTATTATGTGACATACTATCTCAGTCTGTTCCTTTTGCTCTAACAAAATACCTGAAACTGGGTGATTCATAAAAGAAATTTATTTCTCACAGTTGAGGAGGCTGGAAAGTCCAAGATCAAGGTGCCAGCAGATTTGGTTTCTGCTGAAGGCTCACTTTCTCCTTCCAAGATGGCACAAAAGGGTCAACTCTTCTTCAAGACCTTTTATAAGGGCACTAATCTGTTCATGAGGGAAGAGCCCACACTGTCTAATCACCTCCCAAGGCCCCCCACCTCTTAATACCATCACCTTGGGGGTTAAGTTCCAAAGTGCATTTTGGAGGGCCATATACATTCAAACCATAGCACATGCATTATCTCATTTAATCCAGAGCTATTGGTTGACATCCCATCCCATTGGGACAAGAACACACATGTGATAGTTGAGCTTAAAGTGTCAAAATATGGACAGTATTCAGAGGAAACAGTGATAGTGAGCTGGAGGGTTCTAGAAAGATCATGTGGAGGCAATGGGGCAAGAGCTGGACCATGAAGAATGGATGGGGCAGAAGATGGGCAGGCAGGAGAATGGGGGATAAGGACCTCCTAGTGACTTAGGTGAATTTAGTATGACATCTTGGTTTTATTAAATAAGTAGCATTTGATACTCTTTAGTCTACTTTACCTTTTCCTTCCAACAACTCTGTGAATTAGAAAGGGCAGATGGTTAAATCTATTTATTGTTGAGAAATGGAGGTCCAGAGGGGAAAAAAATGCTTTACCCAAGACACACAGTGAAATTAATGGCAGCCTGAGCTTCTCACCGTTGCTATTTGAGTTTCTCCATGTTACTTGACCACCCACTGGTATCTGACCCCAAAAGACCTTCCTTGCTGACTTCCTGTGGTATTTTATTTTGTTTTGCACAGCATGGTACTGCTATTAAAAACTAAATCTTTTAAAAACAACATTTCCTCAGTAGCATCAAACATATGTCTTTATCTTCTTGATTCAAGCTGGTCCTGACTTTAAGATATCTTGAGGAGAATAGGGTAAGAATACATGTGGACTTTCTTCCTTGAGAATATAGGGAAGTATTAGATTTCAGAGTCTGAGGTTAACACAGTGGTCACCAGCCTAATGTGGCTATTTAAATTTGAGTTAATTAAGTAAAACTTAAAATTCAGTTCTCGGTTTGCATTTACCGCATCCCAACTGCTCAATAGCAACATGTGGCTTGTAGCTCCTACATTGCTGGTATAGAAACAGAACATTGCCATTATTGCAGAATGTTCTGTTGGACAGCACTAGCCTAAAGCTGCTGTCTCAGCTAAGTGACTTCTCTGTAACCTCTGACTCTCTGTAACTTCTAACTTGTAACTTCTGTGTAACCTTTGACCTTACAAGGTAGGCTTGGAGTGCAGAGGGGTGCAATGAAGTTGTCTGTGATACTTATGCTTATCTCAGGCCATACTGTAATGTTCTCTGGGTCAGCTCTCCAAAAGGCACAAGCAGTCACTTGTTTTTCACAGAGAGAGAACCCCTGATTCTAGCTATTATACTGACTCTCGTAGAGGTGCTACAGGCAGGCCATGATAGGATCTGGAGCCACTGTGTTATCATTTCTTCCATAGTTATAGATGGAGTGCTCCATGTGTCATTAGTCATTTACACTGTTGTGTGTGTCAGCCTCAATGTCTACCCATGAGGATACATGCCTGTATTTGGGGAGGTATGCAGGGGAGGACAGCTGCAGCCCAAAAAGCTCCTATATGAAGGAATGAGCTGCCATACTGATGCCTCCATTCTTAAGAATGTTCTGTGTTGTGGTTGCTGGTCTCTGGCTGAAATTTGGTACGTACATTCTTTAGTTTGCAAGAATAAAAGGCTCAGTGCAGTGTTATAGGCAGGGGTCTGCTCTTAGTTCAAATGCATTGAAGGAAGCCGTTTTATGCACAGTGGCTTGTACCCTGAACATCCTTTTGGAAAGACTAAACAAAGAGGGTTATTTTGTGACTTCACCATATACATGGCCTGAATGGATGGTAAGACTGTTGAATGGAAGGTTGGGTAGATTAGAGTGTGCTACCAAAGGCAAAAGGGCTCTGGCCAGGGGCCCAATACTACTGTGAACAGGATGCAAATGATGGTGGTCTCACAGGAGACACACTAAACGGGGAGTTGGGTGGGACTGGAGCTAACCCCATTTAAGGTCCTCAAGACCATGTAATGAAGCAGGAAACCCAACACACAGAGTGCATGAAAGCAGGACACAGAGATGAATCCTGAATGGGCAGAGGGCCCCAGAGAGGGAGACAGTGACTTGGGTTCTTTAAGGGCTCACAGGCTATAGCCACAGGCTACAGATTCACCTCATTGCATCCCCTGCTTCTCTGTAATTGCCCTGGTGAGTTTCCAAATGAAGGGAAAGAGCCAATAGCCCTTTAGGAAGAGATGCACTAGATGAAAATCACCTGATTAAAATATTGCTGTTAATCGCAGGAGAGGGGGGTAGGGAGGGAAAAAAACCACAGGCTCAAGCGTTAAAAGCAATAAATTATTTGTTAGGCTTTGCCACCCAGTATGACCTTGGGCAAGTGGCATAAGGGCCCCATTCTCTCTGATCCTGGAGCAGGGGGAATGCCTGCCACCTGCCTACCTCTTGGGGGTTTTGGGAGGATTAATGACATAATGTCTGAGCTGTGCTTTGGGCTCCTTGGAGACAGCCACTATGTATCAGGAATTATTAGCACAAGCTAGGACAGTTTCTTGACTATTCTTTACCTCATTAAGCTACCTATGCCTGATTACATCTGCTTATAAAAGTTGCTGCTCAAAGAAGAGTGGACTGGGAAGGTCATAACCCAGGCTGGATCTGTCCTGGTTGGTTTCATTAAAGCCACTCCCTAAACCCACACTCATCAGCAACAGGGCACCTTGAAAGCTTAGCACAGTACCCAGCATCTAATGCCAGAGACGGATGGTTAAAAAGAAAAGAAAGAAGAAGATCCTGTGGACTTTTTGCACTTCTGTGTTTTGTGTTACTACTACCAACCCACCTACATTCTAGTGCACCTAGGGGAGTGACTGCCAGGTTGCCGGGGATGAGGGACAAGCTCCAGGAGTCTTCAGCTACTCAGTTTTTAGAATGAGTAGCTGTCAGATGGATGGACAGGTTTTTTCAGTGTCAAATTTTGAGGCAACCGACTAAAGAAACCAGGCGGCTCTAAGTTCACATACCAAGAAACCTATATTGATTGTGTTTCTAAGTGAGGGCAAGTCCATGTTGTATGAATGTGTATTATGTGTAAAAGACACAAAAAAGTATATTCAGTGTGGGTCTCTATCCTCAAAGGTCTTCATCCAGTTGGATAAATTTGACATTTATTCCTAGAAAGCTCACCAGCCTTGATATAGACCAGGGGAGAAGTCAGATTAGGGGATCAAAGCACTTCAGGTCAAAGGATTCAGAGGCTGAGCCTGGGCCAGGGGCAGAGGGGTGAGGGGAACAACTCAGCCACAACATCCTCGAGTGTATCCAGAGGCCATGCAGACAGAGGCTTGAACCACAGTTCACAGGAGGCTTTCAGGTACCTGTGATCCTCCTGGAACAGGAGAGGACAGGAAGATCCTAAGGTACACTTCAAGGCCATCTCCCACCCACCTCCTATCTCTTGGGAGGCTGTCGTGAGACAGTGTCTCATCACCCCTCAGGTTCTGATGAGGATGAACTTCTGTACTCCAGCCCCCTCAGAATAGAGCTGCAGAAGGTAAAGCTGCTTAGCTACAGTCTCAAGTGGACTCCTCAGCAACAGGGCATCCCGCAGCTCACGCTGCGGTCATCTGGCCCCTTCTGTTCCAAGGTCATAATTTTTGGTATGAAGGACAAAGCCGTGGGGAGCTGGCACCTTTGGCTACTCTTTCTTTTGCTGTCTATGTAAGTAATAAACTGCCTGAATCCAAAAGTGGCTTGTGATACCTTTACCAGCCGAATTAGTAAGGTCTTGGCCTTGCCTTGTCTCGTATGCTTGAAAAGAGGGTGTGCCCAACTCTCACCTCAACTGCGCCAAAGCTTTAGGCCAAAAGGATAGAGCTGGTTCCCAGGGCCTGTCAAAAGAGAAGGGAGCAGGACCGAGGGCAACCAGCAAAGCTTTAGACCCATGCAGACCAGTGCCACCTGGCTCAGCCATCCTAGCACAGCTGGAATTCTTTCCATCTTTGTTGCATCAGCCACACACGAGGACACTAATACTGACATTATAAGGTTGTTGTTAAGATTGGAGATAATGTATGTTATACTTCCATAGCCGTCCCCGACACAACTACTAAAACAGAAAATAACAGCCACTAACATTTACTATGTGCTTGCCTCGTTCCAGGCACTGTTCTGCTAGTTTTATAGGCTAACTCATCTGACCCTTACAACTACCTTTGAAGTAGATATTCTTTTTTTATGTAGATGAGGAAGCCAAGTTCAGAAATTTGCTCAAGGTCACATACAAGTTAGTGGCAGAGCTGGGATTTAAACCCAGGCAGGCTGTGAGCCTGGGTTCTTAACCACCCTGCCTCAGTGGACATCAGCCACGTTCCCACACTTTGCTGCTGAAAAGAAAGTAACATTTTATCCAGTCTAAGTGCTGAGAACAGTTCTGGTCTCCTATATCTTAGTATCAGGTTGAGCCTGAGTAGAAGGAAACAACAAGACAGAAGGGCTGGCAGGGATCTAGATAGAGAAGACTCTGAAAGTGATGAGTGATCTGGTTTGCAGGTGGTAGAATATGTACTTGGTTTGTAGTTAAGGAGAAGGACAAACTTCAAAAGCTGTCTCATAAGTCAAAGGCCCCAATTTAGGAATACGCAAGTGTTGGTAATACATTTAGCCAAATGCTGGACAGAATAAGCTAGATGTGACAGTGGACATGAAAATGCCAAATTCAGAATGGTGGTCACATTTTGTAGGAAGAGAGAGAGAAATACTATTTTTCAGGCTAGTATTTGATGTATTGTTACTGTTTTATACCTCAACCCCTTGATTTCTTGAAACAGTGTAAACTTGGTGACTTTACTGCATAATAAATCCACCCATTGCACCTACATTGCAAGCAAACTCCACCCACTCCATAAATTGGTGATTTTCCCGCTGCATCTCCTGTCTACTTTCAGATAGTTTTCCTAAAGCCCTGACTGGCAAAAGCCTAATTCCGCCCTCTGCAAAGATCTCAGGTCCTTGTCTAACGAAAGGGGAAAAACATTAAAAATGAAATGTTTGAAATGCAACAGAGTGAACAGAGTGAAAACTACTGCCTATAGTCATGTGTCGCATAATGACGTTTCAGTCAACAACAGACTGCATATACAACAGTGGTTCCGTAAAGATTATAATGGAACTGAAAAATTTCTATCACTCAGTATTTACTGTATTTTTTATGTTAGTGTACTCTTCTACTTATTAAAAAAGAAGTTAGCTGTAAAATAGTCCCAGGCAGGTCCTTCAGGAGGTATTCGAGAATAAAGCATTATTATCATAGGAGATGACAGCTCATGTGTGTTACTGCGACTAAAGACCTTCCAGTGGGACAAGATGGACACAGAAGACAGTGACATTGATGATCCTGACATTGTGTAGGCCTAGGCTAATGTGTGTGTCTTAATTTTTAACAAAAAAAGTTTAAAAAAGTAAAAAAAAAAGTTTTGATAGAAAAAAGCTTATGAAATAAGGATATAAAGAAATTTTTTTACAGCTGTACAATGTGTTTCTTATTAGAGTGTTATTACAAAAGTCAAAAGTTAAAATTAAGTTTATAAAGTAAAAAAGTTACAGTAAGCTAAGGTTAATTTATTATTGAAGAAAGGAAAGTATTTTTTATAAATTTAGTGTAGCCTAAGTTACAGGCACATAGTTTTAAAAATCTTTTTTTTTTTTTTTTTTTTTTGAGATGGAGTCTCGCTCTGTTGCCCAGGCTGGAGTGCAGTAGTGCAGTGGCATAATCTCGGCTCACTGCAACCTCTGCCTCCTGGGTTCAAGTGATTCTTCTGCCTCAGCCTCCTGAGTAGCTGGGATTACAGGTGCCTGTCACCACGCCCATCTAATTTTTTCGTATTTTTAGTAGAAACGGGGTTTCACCATGTTGGCTAGGCTGGTCTCGAACTCCTGACCTCAGGTGATCCACCCACCTTGGCCTCCCAGAGTGCTGGGATTACAGGCGTGAGCCACTGCACCCAGCCTAAAAATCTTTTATACCATATTTTTTACTGTACCTTTTCTATGTTTAGATATGTTTAAATACACAGATATTTACCATGGTGTTACAGTTGACTACAGTACAGTAACATGCTGTACAAGTTTGTAGCCTCAGAGTCATAGGCTATACTGTACAGCCTAGGTGTGTAGTACGCTATTGCATCCAGGTTTGTGTCACCACACTCTTATGTTTGCACAGTGACAAAATCGCCTAATATTTCTCAGAACATGACCCCTGTCATGAGGTGACACGTAACTGTATTTAGGATTAAGGCTTTCAGTGAAGTAGAACCGTGGACAGAAAAGAAAAGACTACCTTTGAATTGTTACTCCTTCACAGATCATCTGTCTTCTCTGTTAGTTTTGGAAACTTGTTTTATCCTGTATTGGGCTGTTTCACTGCGACATACCTAGGGGTGAATTTATGGATTTAATATATCCTGTTGAGGCTGGGTGCGGTGGCTGATGCTTGTAATCCCAGCACTTTGGGAGGCTGAGGTGGGTGGATCACTTGAGCCCAGGAGTTCAAGACCAGCCTAGACAACATAGTGAAACCCATCTCTACAAAAAAACAAAAACTAGCCAGGCATAATGACACACACCTGTAGTCCCAGCTACTCAGGTGGCTGAGGCAGGAGGATCGCTTGAGCCCAGGGGGGTTGAGGCTACAGTGAGCTGAGGTCGCACCACTACACTCCAGCCTAGGTGACAGAGTGACACCGTGTCTCAAAAAAAAAAAAAAAAAAGAAAAAAACACAACTATATATATAGTGGAGCAAAGCCCTCTGTTTTTGATCTGAAAACTTATGTCTTATTTCACTTCTGGAAAGTTCACAGCCTTCATCTTTCTGAATAGGGTTGGTCTGCCACCACTCCAACACCCTTCCCCTGGATAGCTATCAAAGCTGTGTTAGAGGCTTAGGTCTGCCCTCTGTGTCACTAACTACTATTTTTCTTCTTCCTCTACTGCATTCTGGGTGACTTCCTCAGCATGTCTTCCAGTTCACTAATCCTATCTCCATCTTTGTCCAGTTTGGATTATCATTTAAAATTTAATTTCAATGTCTGTTTTTCATTTCTAGCATATATACATTATTCTTTTTTAAAAATATCCATGTATTATTTCCTTTCTGCCTGTTGTGTTTTATATTTCCTTATTCTTTCTTATAGCTATAATTCCTTTTTGCATCTCCCATAATTCCTAAAACATACATTTAAAAGTCATTGTCAGGCTGAGTATGGTGGCTCAAACCTGTAATCCCAGCACTTTGGGAGGCTGAGGCGGGTGGATCACCTGAGGTTAGGAGTTCAAGACCAGTCTGGCCAACATGGTGAAACCCTGTCTCTACTAAAAATACAAAATTAGCCGGGCATGGTGGCACACGCCTGTAATCCCAGCGACTTGGGAGGCTGAGGCAGGAGAATGGCTTGAACCCGGGAGGCGGAGGTTGCCGTGAGCTGAGATTGTACCATTGCACTCCAGCCTGGGCGATAAGAGTGAAACTCCGTCTCCAAAAAAATAAAGTCATTGTCAGACTGCCCTATTTTCATTTAATCTCAAATAAATTAACCCCCCAGTGTCGATTTTGTTGGCTGTCTTCTTGAGTTAGTTTTCTTTTGGTATTTTGGAAATTGGGTTTGGAAACTCACGGAGTCAGAGTTCGTTTGGAGGAAATGGTCTTCTCTGTGCCATCCCTCCCCCAACAGCCTTGTGTTTACTTCTCCAAGGACCTGTAAGCCTATAACAGGTCTCATAGTGACATGTCAGGACCACCAGGACATACAGACACAGATAAACTTCAGTCTTCATACCTCCATGTGGTCTTGGCCCACATGCAGGCTGTAGATTGTACATGCTTCTTCGTAACATCCTAGGCTTCACTGTGAGCTGTAATTGTCAGATGTTTTCAGTCTCCTTTCATAGCTGGGGCAGCCTAGCCCAAACTTTGGTTTTAAGTAAGGACAGTGGCTCCCATCCCGCCCCACTTGGGCTACTTTTAGTTCCCAGTCCACCAGAATAGAGCTCCCAGCACCACCACCTACATTCAGACTCAAAGCACAGCGGGACTGTGGCTTCAGCATTCATCTTTGCTTTATTCTGTTCTGTTCTTTTTTTCCCCCGTAGATATGTTTATCTTGTTTTTAAGCATAATTTACACCTTTCATTTTCTTTTTGTATTTGATGTTTGGAATGGAGGGGAGGGAAACTGAATCAAAAATAAACTTATACACTGAGCAGAAGGTGATATGTAAAGGAGGTTAAGGACAGAGTCAAGCCTAGTGAGGGTAGATTATTCCAGGCAGAGGGAACAAGAGCAAGTGCAAAAAACCTATGGTAGGTAGGCCTGGCATGTGGGAGGAACAGCAGGGAGGCCAGTGTGGCTGGAACAGGGTGAACAAGAAAGAGACTGGCAGAAGAGAGGGGTCAAAGGTCATGGCAGGTCAGACACAGGATTTTCCAGGGCTTCATAAGTCAGCTAGGAAGCCAGTGGTAACTTGCACAGAGTAGTAACATGGCATGACTTATATTTTAACAGGATTGCTCTGGCTGCTGTATTTGAGAAAAGACTGGGGAAGGGGCAGTGTCAGGGAGTGGAAGAGTTGAGGGAGAGCAGTTAGGAGCTCTGGCAGTAACCCAGAGGAGAAGTGAAGGGGGCTTGGTACAGGGTGGAAGCAGGGGAGGTGCTGGAAAGTGGTTGGGTTCTGAATAGGTTTTGTAGGTAAAGTCGGCAGAATTTGCTGAAGGGTTGGATGTGGGTAGGGGAGAAAGGAAGCAAGGATGACTCCAAGGAATGAAATGCCATTACTTGAGAAGAGGAACATGACAGAAAAGGTTTGTTTTGGAGGAAGCTCAGTTTTAAACAATGAAATGAAAATTAGCCCTTCTTACCCGACTACAAAGATATGATAATTACTGTAAGATTCAAAAGAAGACTGAAGACTGTTACTCAGAATATAGAAAGAACTCTGAAAATTCAATAAGTACACAACCCAATTAAAAGCAGGTAAAAGATTTGAATAGAGACTTTACAAAGAAGAGATAGGGATGGCAAATAAACACATGAAAAGTTGCTCAGCAACATCGGGCATCAGTAAATGCAAAATAAAACCACAATGAGATACTGCTACGTGCCACTAGAATGGCTAAAATTAAAAGGCTGATACTAAAAAGTGTCAGTGAGGAAGTGGAACAATGGGAACCCATACATTGCTTTTGGTAATCCAAAATGGCACAGTTCCTTCGGAAAAGTTTGGAGTTTCTTATAAAGCTCAACATACACCTACCATGTGACCCAGGTATTCCACCCGTAGGTATTTACACAAGAGAAATAAAAACATTTGTCTACGCAAACCTACTCAAATATCCGTGGCAGCTTTATTTGTAATAGTGAAAAAGTGGAAACAATCCAATGTCCATCAACAGATGAGTGAATGAAAAGTGGTTCACCCATACAGTGGACCACTACTCTGCAATAAGCAGCAAAACACTGACACATGGATGAACCTCAAGAACATAATGCTGAATCAAAGGATCCAGGGTTCTTCCCTTCCCCCCAAAAAAGAGTGCATGATACATCATGTTTCCGTTTATGTGGAATTCCAGAAAATATAAACCAACTTATATAGTAACAGAAATCAGATCGGTGATAGTCTGGGTATGGGGTGGAAGAAGAAATGGACTATCAGGGAACAAGAAACTTTCTGGGGTGATGAAAATGCTCTGTATCTTGATAGTGGTGGTGGTTTCACAGATGTCTGCACCTGTCAAAACTCACTACACATTGTTATCAGTAAATGATTAGTTTATTGTATATAAACACCTCAATTAAGTCTGTGTTTGTTTTTTGGGATGTGGTGGCACAAGCCTGTAGTCCCCGCAAGTTGGGAGGCTAAGGTGGAAGGACTGCTTGAGCCCAGGAGTTTGAGGCTGCAGTGAGCTATGATGGTGCCACTGTACCCCAGCCTGGACAATAGAGCAAGACCCTGTCTCTAAAAAAATGTTTTTTTTTTTAATTACTGAATTCAGGATATGAACAATGACAGCATTCTTAAAAGAGAGTCAACAAGTCTACCATAGAGCTCTATGACCCAACCAAAAGTCATAGTAATTCCAGTGCTGACCACTTGATTATCACCAGCAGCCTCAGTTATGGGCTTTTAATTCATAAACAGATGACTTGATGAAGAAAAAAGGGAACTTTACTCTTCTGATTCAGGTATGGCTAAGAACCAGGCCATGAAACACCCAAGGACCTAAGACACAATGCCCTTTTAAGACAGCTAGCATGAAAGTGGTTCTTTTCCATGCCTCGTACGCCCTAATTGTGGTAGAATAAAGACTGACATCCCACAGGATGTAAGACGTGTGTTTATTAAGGACATCGACTTGTGCCATCTCACTCAGGTGGGGCTGGCACCATTCTTATTTTACAGATGAGGAAACAACCTTGGGGAAATAAAGTAATTGCCTGGAGTAATGGAGCTCAGCTGCATTCTTTTTTAAAAATTAAATAAGAAATTTTTAAGAGATGGTCTCTCTGTCTGTCATTCAGGCTGGAGTGCAGTGGCGCCATGATAGGTCACCTGTCACCTTGAACTCCTGGGCATAAGCAATCCTCCCACCTCAGCCTCCCAAGCAGCTGGGATTACAGGTTTACACCACCACACCTGCCTAAGTTTTTGTATTTTTTGTAGAGACAGGGTTTCGCCATGTTGCTGAGGCTGGTCTCAAACTCCTGGCTTCAAGTGATCCCCTTGCTTCGGCCTCCCAAAGTGCTGGGATTACAGGGATGAGCCACTGCGCCCAGCCTGTTCTTTTCATCACATGACTCCACTGGTGATAGTCTTGCCTCACTATATTTTTCCTTTTCTCCCCATTTACCATTTATTTGCATAATTCTTTAATAACAGCTTTATTGAGATATAATTCACATACCATATAATTCACCTATATAAAGTGTATAATTCAGTGGCTTTTAGTATATTCAGAGTTGTACAACCATCACCACAATCTATTTTAGAACATTTTAATCACCTCAGAAAGAAACCCTGTACCTTTTAACTCTCACTCCCCTGTCTTCCCATTCTTCTACCTCCCCAGTGCTAGGCAACCACTGATCGACTGTCTCTGTCCTATTCTGGGCTTTCATGTAATAGACTCATATAAGATGTGGACTTTTGTGACTAGCTTCTTTTACTCAGCATATTCTCAAGGTTTATTCCTGTTGTAGCATATATCAGTACTCTGTTCAATTTTGTGGCCAAATAATATTCCGTGGTGTGGGTTAACCACACTTGATGTTTCCATTCATCGGCTGATGGACATTCACATTGTTTCCACTCTTTGGTTATTAGGAATAGTGCTGCTATGAACGTTCATGTACAAGTTTCTGGGCCATGTTTTCTTTTCTCTTGGGTATATACTCAGGAGTGGAATTGCTGGGTGTCATATGGTCACTCTATGTTTAAGCCTTTGAGGAACTGCCAGACTCTTTTCCAAAGTGGCTGCTCCATTCTGCGTTGCCATCAGCAGTGTTTGAGGGTTCTAATTATTCCACATTCTAGCCAACACTTGGTATGACATGATGTCTCATTATGGTTTTGATTTGCATTTCCTTGATGGCTAATGATATTGAGCATCTTTTAATGTGCTTGTTGACATTTGCATATCTCTTGGAGAAATATGTATTCAGATCCTATGCCCATTTTTAATTGAATAGTTTGTCTTTTTATTGAGTTGTAAAAGTTCGCATACATTTTCTTCTGTGGGTTTTATACCTTTAAATTATTCATTTATTTATTCTTAGAGACAGGGCCTTGCTGTCTCCAGGCTGGAGCGCAGTGGAGCCATCATGGCTTAATGCAGCCTCAAACTTGTGGGCTCAATCTTCCTGCCTCAGCCTCCCAAGTAGCCAGGATTACAGGCGTGTACCACCACACCTGGCTAATTTTTTAAACGTTTTGTAGAGACAGAGTTTTGCTATGTTACTTAGGCTGGTCTCAAACTCCTGAGCTCAAATAATCCTCCTACCTTGGCCTCCCAAAGTGCTGGGATTACAGGTGTGAGCCATGGTGCCTGGCCTTTTTTACACTTTCTTGATGGTATCCTTTATAGCACAAAAGTTTTTAATTTTGATGAAGTTCATTTTGTCTATTTTTTCCTTGGTTGCCTATGCTTTTGGTATGATGTCTATTGCCCTACTTTTTGCATGAGAGGTACATGGGCCTCTTTGTATCTGAACATCAGAAATAAAAGCAGGATGGGCAGGATCAGGACTGCCCTTCAGATGAGGTTACATGACTCTTCTAAGGTCACACAGAAGAGGCAGTACTGGGATCCACCGTGGGCCAGTGCAACTCGAAGCCCTTATTCATCATAGCACACCACAGCATAGCACAGCATCATCAGGGAGTGGAGAATGAGAGGTTCTGCCTTAGGCCCTTCACTAAAGTGCTCGCTCTTAACACTGTGTTGAGAATCCCCTTCTCAGAATGGTTACTTGGCAAATGTTGAATTATTTCTTTCATTTTTGTTTCTATGTTTTTCCAGTGAAAGAAATTTAAAAAAAAGAAAAAGGAATGAACTTAAAATCTTGACTGGAGGGTAATGAACCTGCCTCTCAAGGGCCTGCCTTCCTTTGCATTCAGAAAACTACTCAAGGTTACAAAAAACCAATACATCCCACTGGTTCCTTGTAAGAAATTCTCCAAATATCAGGAAATATTGTGGGAAAGGAATGCATCTCTCTCTCTCTCTTTTTTTTTTTTTTTTTTTTTTGAGACGGAGTCTCGCTTTGTCACCCAGGCTGAAGTACAGTGGCGCGATCTCGGCTCACTGCAAGCTCCACCTTCCGAGTTCACGCCATCCTCCCGCCTCAGCCTCCCGAGTAGCTGGGACTACAGGCACCCACCATCATGCCCGGCTAATTTTGTTTTTGTATTTTTAGTAGAGACGGAGTTTCACCGAGTTAGCCAGGATGGTCTCGATCTCCTGACCTCGTGATCCGCCTGCCTCGGACTCCCAAAGTGCTGGGATTACAGGCATGAGCCACGATGCCTGGCTGGAATGCATCTCTTTGACAATGCATGTTGCCACTTAATACTGCCATTTGTTACTTTTAAACCGTGTTATACATAGAGCCAATTCATGGGAAAAAGCCCTGGTTAGCTTCAAATTTTGGTCACCTGTCCTGTCAGCAGATGCATATACATTTTATAATTGTTTTCAAACTCCCGATTAAACAACATTACAGTAAAGGAGGGCTCAGCTCTTAATCACTGTTCCTTGCCTGGTGTCCAGCCACAAGGTCATTGCTTAGCAAATGTTGATTTAAATGAGTAGTAGAATCCAAAAAAGAAAAAATCTCCTACTATTCTTACTCTCCAGTCCATTAAGTTTGTAAATTCTTTGTTTCCTTTTAGTTTTCATCTAGATACAGATGTGATTTTTATTTATTTTTATTTTTTTGAGACAGAGTCTCACTCTTGTCCAGGCTGGCGCGCCATGGCCAGATCCTAGCTCACTGCAGCCTCAACCTTCCAGGCTCAAGCAATCCTCCCACCTTGGCCTCTCGAGTAGCAAGGACCACAGGTGCATGCCACCTAATTTTTTAATTTTTGTAGAGACAGGGGTCTCACTGTGTTGCCCAGGTTAGTCCCAAACTCCTGGGCTCAAGTAATCCTCCCATCTTGGCCTCCCAAAGTGCTGAGATTACAGGCAGATATGATTTTTAAATCTGTACATTAATTTTTCTGAAAATTCTGTACATCTAATACTATGTTGTCTTCATTATTATCTTACTGTGGTGACATTACATCCCATAAATTATGCACATTGTTTTTATTATATAGTCTTTGGGGGAACTTTTTTTTTCTTTCTAAGTTTTCACAGTTTAGAGGAGGACTACTTGAAGATTTCATCATATAAAGTTACTACTTTGGCTGGGTGCAGTGGCTTACGCCTGTAATCCTAGCATTTTGGGAGTCCGAGGCGGGCGGATCATGACGTCAAGAGTTCAAGACCAGGCCAGGCGCAGTGGCTCACGCCTGTAATCCCAGCACTTTGGGAGGCCGAGGTGGGCGGATCACAAGGTCAGGAGTTCGAGACCAGCCTGGCCAATATGGTGAAACCCTATCTCTACTAAAAATACCAAAATTAGCCGGGAGTGGTGGCGGACGCCTGTAGTCCCAGCTACTCGGGGGGCTGAGGCAGGAGAATCACTTGAACCAGGGAGGTGGAGGTTGTAGTGAGCCGAGATCGAGATCGGGCCACTGCACTCCAGCCTGGGAGACAGAGCGATACTCTGTCTCAAAAAAAAAAAAAAAAAAAAAGAGTTCAAGACCAGCCTGGCCAACATGATGAAACCTCGTCTCTACTAAAAGTACAAAAATTAGCCAGACATGGTGGCGGGCGCCTGTAATCCGAGCTCCTTGGGAGGCTGAGGCAGGAGAATCGCTTGAACCTGGGAGGCAGAGATTGCAGTGAGCTGAGATCGCACCACTGCACTCTAGCCTGGGCAACAGTGCAAGACTCTGTCTCAAGAAAAAAAAAATTACTACTTTGAGGTTATTTCCTCGGGGTCTGTTTGAAAAATGAAATTGTGGGGGAAGGACATAACGGAGCTTGGGCATTGTCTCATTGCCAGACCGCTTCCCCCCAAATTTGAGCCAATTTGCAGCATGGCCAGAATGTGTTTGCCCAAGTTGGGTTTAGAGCTGGTTTACTTGGCTGATTTTGCTGTTGTATTCATCACCAATAAGATGGATGATGATTCTGTTTTCTTACTATAAATTAGTTGCATATATCCCTTAACTCTCAGTCATTTCATTCCTTGCAGTGTATCTTTGTTCTGTACCTGCTCATATGGAGAAGTTCAAAAAATACATTAGTACTTTCTGCCCCACTTTGTCACTATCTAGTTCACTAATTTTCCTAAAGGAATTGACTTAGCTCATGTTGCTTCATCATTTATAAACATATAAATGAGGCAGAGGTTGCATTGAGCGAAGATCATGCCACTGCACTCCAGCATGGGCAACAGAGCGGGACCCTGTCTCAAAAAATAAATGAATAGGCTGGGTGGCAGAGGTGGGTGGGTTACTTGAGTTGGATCCAGGAGTTTGAGACCAGCCTGGACAACATAGTGAGACCCTGTCTCTACTAAAAATACAAAAATTAGCTGGGCATGGTTGTGCATGCCTGTAATCCCAACTACCTGGGGGACTGAGTCAGGAGGAAGTCCTGGCTGCAGTGAGCCAAGATTGTGCCTCTACACGCCAGCCTGGGTGACAAAGTGAGACCCCTGTCTGAATAAAAAATAAATTAATATAGCTTTGGAATTTTTTTTCACTTATTTTTCTAGTTTCAGTTCAGCATCATGTAGTTTGAATGATTTGTTGTTTTATAGTATTGTATTTCATCTTAATTTAGTAACTCTTTGATGTGTTTAAGCACCTAATCCTTTTCATAATAAGAACGATCAAATGTCCTTTATAAGTTGCCTTGCAATTTGAAGTAAAACTGTGTGAGTGAATTTCTGTGTAGAGAACAATACTTGTCATCTGGTAGGCACATGAGTCACTCTGAGTCACTTCAAGAATGAATTTAGAATTAATTTAGCTTAAGGTTTCTATAGTCTACTGGATACTTAAAAAAAAATTTAACTTACGAGGCATCTTATCTATTTGAAACTAGCAACAGCCATTCTAAGTGAGGGTTTGTAAAGTCAGGCGTGAGATATACATGGGGCCATATGTAAGTTTTAACATAATTCTCTGACAAAATGAAATTCTAGGGCGTGGGAGATACTCAAGAGAAAAGGTGGATTTGAAATGCCCCCTGCTTCCCCAAGTTTCTGACAGGTCACTTCTCAGTTGTGCATTTGGTACAGAGGAATGAAATAGGTATAGAGGCTCTTTTTGGTTTTTCTCAAAAAAAGTGATACCCACTGGGGGAGACTCCAGCCGAGTGTTCTGAAAGCCAGAGTCCTCAGCCGAGAGAACTCCACAGTCTTCAGGCCGTTCCCAGCTGGAATTCTCTGTGAAACAGCAGCAACAGCCAGCAGCTTTTTGGTGTCTGGGGTAGTTTCTGACCCATCACAGTTCCCTTCATTGCTATGACAACAGGGAGAATAATTATTCAGGTTCTGTTTGATTCTAGATCCAGAAAAAGGTTTAGGCTCTTTGTTCAAAGAGCAAAAGAATTGTCCGTTTCTTTGTACATAGAAGAGGGAAAAAAAATCCTTATGATTCAAGAGAAAAATGGGTGCGTCTGTCCTTTTTCCTTTCTTTCACGTAAATTATAAGTCTTGGTTCTAGCCACCACACCTTTTAAGAAAAGGTCTGGGACTGATGTGAGACTCTGTACCACAGCGACACCCTACCCTGGCCGACAGTGGCAAAAGAACAAAAGGAAGGAAGTTTCCCTTTTAAATCCCCAGGAATTTTTTGATGAGATAATATTACAGAGTGAAATGTCTCGTCCTCCTATTAGTTTAGTATTTGGCTTCTGTGTAACAGTAACCCACTTAGAAGCAGGCGGCTCTTTTGAAGTTATTTTAAACTCTCAGCCTAGTGTAGAGATTTGTAACCTTGGATAAAAGCACCACTAGCCCTAGTTTCAGTTTTGCCCTTTCAGACATGTGGAAAGTGCACCAGTATATCTCAAGGATTTTGTACTGAAAGCTTCTTAAAGAGCTGGTCTTGGTTTCAAAGTTTGGCTTGATGTACCATACTCAAGGGAACATAGTTCTTTTTCTCCAGATATTTAACCTTGTCTGACATCGTCTTTTGGCTTCGAAGTTCCCCTAGCTTCTTTGTCCATTAACAAAACATGAAACCACATGAAACCATGATAGTCAGTCTCACTGGGCTCTGAGGAAGTTGAAGAAAGTTCATCTTCATATTTAAACATAAAACCAGTTGTTTGATACCTGGTACCAGAGATGGCCAGGTATATGCATTGCTTGTTGGTAGCATTTTGCCTTAGTAACTATTCAGAAATGCAAGTGGAATGTTGAGTTCCTCTTCTAGAGGTTATATCTGTATCTGGGAGAAAATTGGAGCTTCTCAGAACAATCACCCTGGTTATTGTGTCTGCCGTCTCTGTAACACCCAAATCTATATCACACTCTGATGCCACCTGGGAGCTATTTTTGGTTGCGAAGGGTGGTGAAAGCTGCTGGTTCTTTCTCTTACCGTGTGTCCCTGAGTCATCCCCAGCCCACGTCCTGGATGGCTCCCAGAACAGCCGTCTCAGACGAAGTCTCCCTTCAGATGTCCACTCCTCAGTGCAGGGGGCCTGTGGGGTCTCTCTTGGTCCTGATGAAATCCTTCTCTGCCTTTTCCAGTGAGAAGGACCCATAGAATCTGCTGGAACACTTGGAGAAAGGGACTTATTTCCAGCAGTGCATAAAATTTTTGATTAAAATAATTCACGTGTCTGTTTATAAAAAGACAAAGCGTACATCATGGTTTATAATAAAAAAGAGCATTATCTTGTTTCACCTTCACCACCCCTGATTGCTATTCCCAGAGGCAACCATTTTCAATTCTTTAGTGGCTTCTTTTGTCTTCATCTCTGTGATTCTTTCTAAATTTCTGTAACTCTTATAGTCAATTGCAGAATAATTTATTGACCTCCTCCTGTAGAAAAAGATTTTGCTTTTCACTCCCCTCTTCTCATTCCTGCATTCTTCCAATGTAGTTATATCACATAGGTCATACCCTGATTATGGGTTCCAATCCTGGTGTAAGTTTTTGTTTTTTTTCTGGAGTTAATCATTGCTCCCCTCACCCTGGCCCTCCATTACTTTAGTTTGCTGTAACTATCACGTGTCATCCTCTTGTTCAGAACTATAAAACTCTCCTCAGTACCATCTAACCCACTGGGTAATGAGTCATATTTTTGTTGTTATTTGTTTGGCTGTCCTGTAGCCTCATCCTTCTGGCCCCATCTGGACCTGTCATTCAACAGGCTGGTTGCAAAGCCATCGTCCTGGGATTTCTCTTTATTTCTCTAATCTGTGGGAGTCCCTGTGCTTGGATCCCATGCCTGCCTTTTCCTTAGTTTTATTTCTTTGTTTTGTTGTTGCTGACAGCAACTCCTGAGGTTGGACGTGGATGGGAAAATTTGAGACTTGCTTTTTTGGGGAGGACATCTTCTATTCTCCTTCCCCTTCTACTGTCCTTTCAAGGTGCTGTCATGGTGAAGGGCACCAGTGTTGTGGTCTCTGTGTATAGAAAGCAGTAGCCACCCCAGCGTTCTTGGGCTGCTGTGGCCCCACAGCAAGGCCAAGGAGGAGCAGCCTTTGCTCCTATACCATTGCCAGTAAATCTTTTTTGTCCTGGAAATGTCTTTGATGACTCAGTAATCAATAACTGTAAGAGCTAGGTCTTTCAAAGTTCATGCAGCAAGTTAATTAAATCCTGACCTATTTGCCCTGGTCCCTCACTTAGCAGAGCAGAGACCCAAGTGGCTCAGCAAAAACAGCAAGAGACATGGCAGCAGGCCTGCCTCCAGGCCAGAGGTCATTTGTTCAGCCAGCAGTCATTTATTGAGCACCTGTTGGGTGCAAAGCTCTGTGTAGGGTGAAAGGGGACTTCTGAATAAGACTGTCTTTCTAGAAGCAGGTGCCCATCTTAGAGGGGAGGCTGTAGGAACCAGTAAGCACCATACAAAGCATTTGAGAATCAAAAAGTATTAGTTCATTCAAGAAAGCTCCGTGGAAGGGGTGATATTTAAGTTGGTCTTGAAGGGCAAAGCATTCAAGGCAAAGGCATAAAATGCAAATGGACATGACAGGTCTAGAGAAGGTGAAGGAGAGAGCTTTCCCATTGATGGAACGTCTACTGGTGTTACTATGTTGATGTATTTTATCTCATTTAATCCTTAACGATGTCTGTATTTGTCCATATCAGTTAAGACAGATGCTACAGTCTCCATTTTACAGATAAGAAAATCCATATGGAAAACAGATAGGGGCATAGAGTGTGGAAGTACAGGCATTGGAGACTCAGAAGGGTGGGTGGAGGGGGGGAAGGGGAATGGATTATGGGAAATTACTTAATGGGTACCATTTACATTATTCAGGTGATAGATACACTAAAAGCCCAGATTTCCCCACTAAACAATATAGCCATGTAACAAAATCACACTTCAATATATACAAATAATTTTAAAAATCAAGGTTTATAGAAATCAACTCATCTGCCTAGGTGATGTGCCTCATAAAAGGCAGAAGTGAGATTTCAACACAAGATTGCATGATCTCAAATCTCATTCCTTCCTTCCCAAAATATCCCTTGGAACAAAATAAGGAGTGAGAGGGTAAGAGCCACAGTTTCATAATAATGTCAAACTCTTGATAAAGGAGTGAGTAGGCATTTTCCTTCAGTTGACTTAAGCAAGATGTCAAGTATCCCAAAGTTATTGCACAAAGAGCAAAAGTAAAACAAAATCAAAGTTATAACCCAGGACATATTTTCTGTTATATCCTTGCACTTTCATTGTAGCTTATTAATTATTTGCATGAAGTTCTTCTGTGAATCTGCCCCAGAAGTTTTTCTTGTCTTCTCATTTCAAGCCATCCTTCCCCTTAGTATTCTCTATTGGATGGAGTCTTGGTTCCAGTCTAGGGTTTCCATGTCTATTTGATTTTTTTCTTTACGTTTTCATTAGTAGTTCTTGAGTTCTTACACACAATTCAGCTGTTTTTAATCTTCTTAAAAATAATAAGGCAAAAACATAAATGTCAAGCATCTGACTAGGAAAGCCCTACCCATCCAAATATTTTAAGAAAATAAACTCAGAAATGCCTATAACTTTTAAATGCTTATATGCTACATTAAGTTCAAAGTTAACATGCTTAACACCATACACGGAAGTATCCTACGATGAATTTTCAATGATTAGGCGTTCAGAACCACACAGGTCTTATATGTAGTCAGTGCCTATATGTCGCTGGCTAGTGTTAGCATGTGTGAATAACACGCCTGGTTTTTACCTGATGACTGCAGGGATGGTGTGGAAGTAGTGTCTAGCTGAAACTTTGGGAGAGTTTAGGAATTTCTTACAGAGAAGGTTCTTATTCTCTACAGATGATTGTTATCCAGATAAGGACCTTGGGATCTTTTAAAATCAGAGGCTAATAATTCTTTTTTATCTTTTTAAAAAAATTGAGATGCAGTCTTGCTATGTTGGCCAGGCTGGTCTCGAACTCCTGGGTTCAAACCATCCTCCCACCTCAGCCTCCCAGTAGCTAGGATTATAGGTGTGTGTCACTATGCCTGGTTTAGGGCCTAGTATTTCTTAGGAGAAAGTAGAAATAAAGGTTTCATTGGGGCTATATCTTAAAAAATAAAAATGAAAGTAATGGTTTATATTTAAATTATAATTGCAGCTTTGTACTGATTTTTGAGAATAAACAAAGATTGAATCTCTTGTGGGCCATGCGGGGATATTCTCAGCAAAACTGTATAAGACTGTGCATATAGCATCCTTCACTTAGGTTTGAGTTCAGCCGGGTGCGATGGCTCATGCCTGTAATCCCAGCGTTTTGGGAGTCCAAGGCGGGTGGATCACCTGAGGTCAGGAATTTGAGACCAGCCTGGCCAACATGGTGAAACCCTGACTCTACTAAAAATACAAAAATTAGCTGAGCGTGGTGGCGGGCGCCTCTAATCCCAGCTACTCAAGAGGCTGAGGCAAGAGAATTGCTTGAACCCGGGAAGCAGAGGTTGCAGTGAGCCGAGATCGCGCCACTGTGCTCCAGCCTGGGCAATGGAGACTCCGTCTAAAAAAAAAAAGTTGTTTTCCAACTGAGAGGACTCTCACTTTTTCCAAAGGTCTCTCTTAATCCTTTGATCATTCTCTGTGGAAGCTCCCATGCGTGTTTCTTCTTCTTTAATCCTTAACTAGATTGTTTGCCATTGGCTTTGAGTGGAATCCAGTTGTTGACTAATAGGACTTTCATGGACTCTGTTAAATTCTGCATTGGTTGCTGATTTGCAGTTCTAGTTTGCAACTTATTTACATAGTTTAGTCACTATATCATCTGATATTCCAACAATTAGCAGGAGTTCACTGTTGGATTAAATAAGAGATTAAAATGTGTAAACCGGTCAGGTGCAGCAGCTCACACCTGTAATTCCAGCACTTTGGGAGGCTGAGGCGGAAGGATTGCTTGCGCCTAGGAGTTCAAGACCAGCCTGGGCGACATTGTGAGACCTGTCTCTACAAAAAAAAAAAAAAAAAAAAAAAGTCAATAAATGAGGTGGCAAGATTGCTTGAGCCTAGGGGGTCGAGGTTGCAGTAAGCTGTGATCACGCCACTGCACTCTCATCTGGGTGACAGAACAAGACCCTGCCTTTAAAAAAAAAAAAAAAAAGTGTTAACATTGCAGATGTCCAGTTAATAGGAAAGGCCTCTGTTTCACTTTTCCCATAAAATGCAAATGAAATGGTATGTTCATTTGCATTTTATGCCTTTGCCTAGAATACTCCATCCTTGGGACAGGTCAGTTCCCTAAGAATATTTTCACATAATGACTACTTCTGCTTCTCTATAAAAACATCTCCTGAGCTCGTAACTTGGAGCCCTTGGGAAAAGAGAACCTCAGGGTGGAAATGGCTGGAGGCCTAGGGTGGCCGATGCTGTCGTCAGGGGCCAGCTGACAGAGACCTGAATCGTATAATATGATATTCAATAGGTGGGTCAAAGGAGCCTGTTAGATTGAATTAACAGACTTGCACTGGAGATGTAAACTGGAATAAGGAGCTCAGGAGAGAGGGAACTTAGGGTGGAAGTGGGAAGGTGGAATGGATGGTGAGGTAAGTTTTCTATCCTCTGAGATGTGATCTCAGTGGCTTCTTTACCCTCCACAAGAGGGTAAAGCGTCCCTCCCACTGGCACTTTAGAAAAATTCCTTTTAGTTTTAAAGGCTTTCATTCCTGTTCAGAAGTCAATGCCCTTGACGGGGCTGATGTGTTGAGCTGCTAACAGTCACCCATCCCAGTGTCAGGAAGATTTGATAGAGGAGTTTGGAGGAGAGTGGGAAGGAATGACTGCTTAGGAGGGGAGAGAGCCTGGCAATGAAATGTGGCCCAGGGCACCAGCCTGACAGCCCCGAGGGACCCCTGGGTGTGTTTGAGGCTTTCATAGTTCAGATTTCTGCATGCCCGGACACGCTCTCCACATGCCTTTCCTGAGGCCGTGTGTTCTGCTCCTCCAAGAGAGTAAGCCTCTGGCCTGGTCAGGCCCACTTCCACCTCACTGGCTGCAGTGGGTCAGGCCTCGGCTTTGGCTTCAGCTGCCTCTTGGTTTCCATTCCTTGTCTTCTCCCCGTCCTCCACATCTGCCGCTCTCCCAAGCCTTGTCTTTTCTCCAGCTGCCCTCGACTGTCCCTCCATTTCTTTCTACCATGGCCTTAAGTCTTTGCGTCATGGATGTTCAGCATTTGCAGACATTTAGCTTTACCTCATGTCATATTTACTGTAGGTTTATTGCCATGCGTGTGTATGTGTTCTCCCTAACTTAGCATCTCTCAACGTGTGTCCCATGAAATAGTGTGATCAGATTAAATGCAAAACAAGTTTATAAACAAAGGGTAGGAAATGGTGGTTTTAGCAAAGGTTAAAAGCCTTTTTAAACCATTGGCCACTGCAGAGCTTTAATTCACACATGTAGATCCTGAGTCCCTGTGAAGAGTTTCTCAGTGTTATTTACTTGTGCAAGAACCTGTTTTTCATCTTGTGGTAGGTAGTATTCTGCAGGACCCAGTTTCCTGAAGGGCTGCTGGAATTCACTTAGGCTCTGGAAGGGTAGAAACCACATTGTCCTTCACTGTGGGATCCCCGTGTTAGCTGAGGGCAGTGCTAGGCAGGGCGTAAGTCATTCCTGAGTAAGCTCTTAGGACAGTTGCTTGTTTTTTTTTTTTAAAAAAAACCTTTTAATTGTGAAATTCATATAAAATTCACCATTTTAATCATTTTAAAGCATGAAATTAAGTGGCATTTAATATGTTCACAGTGTTGTGCAATCTTCACCACCATCTAGTTCCAGAACGTTTTCATCACCCAGAAGGAAGCCCTGTACCCATTGAACAGTCACTCCTTATTTGCCCCTCCCTGCTGCCCTTGGCAACCACTAGTCTTCTTTCTGTCTCAATGGTTTTGCCTCTTCTGGACATGTAATGGAATCATACAATATGCGGTGTTTTGTGCCTGGCTTCTTTCTTTAGTAAAGTTTTGATATAGATGCAAAGTCTTAGACCCAGATGATACCTATGCTCCTCCAAAGCAACTCTTTATCATTGGCCAAACCCCATAAATGTATAAGTAACCAAAAGCAGCCATTCATCTGGAAACCTCCAAGTTGTGTGGCCAGGTTAAAAATACCTTGGAATACTGGTTGCCGTTACCATGATTTGACCTGGGACTTCAGGAAGCTGGCTGAGCTGTGCTGGAGTGAGCCGGGTCTTGAGCCCTTTCCTGGAGGTCAGAGGTGCCTGAGCTGTTGACATAATTGGCTCATCCCTCTTGCTCATCCTTTTTCTAGTTGGAGGTCTCAGCATTTCAGACTACTCATTGTTTAATAACTGTAGAACATTCTAGAGTGGGCTGAATCCTGCACGGGCACCCTGGAGGAAAGGTTGCCCCACCCATGGCACCGCAGAACCTCCATTGGCCCTTCAGGCAAATTCCATGAGCCTGAAAGTTTGTGCAAAGTTAGATCCCAGGGCCCTCTATCTCATATCTTGGAATTCCCAAGGGGTGGGATATCTCTCACCCACTATAAAGACAGCTGCTGGCCGCCCTGTGCTCAGCAGTGGTGACCTCTCACCTGCCTTATGAGCTTGTGCAACCCCTTTCCTGTTGTTTCATTGAATTGTCAAGGAACTCTCATTTTTGGCCTGCACCCTTTGCCCTCCACTCGTTGCTGTCTCTGGAGTCCAAGAATACCACTGCTCCAAGAGGTTACCTGCCTGCCTAAAATAACTTCTTTCAGTGCACAATCTTCTGCCTAAGGACCTGTAATGCTGTCTTGGTGTCCAGACTCCATCCTGGTTTTTGAGCCCTTCTCTTTCCTTCTCAGTGTAGACAGTGACCCTTCCTACTCATCAGACTGGATGCATCCTTTTCTCCCCTCTATATCATCTCTTAGCAACTCCTCCCCGGGCTTGGAACTGACCTCTCTCTCTCGTTTTGCCCTGATCAGTCTAACTCTTCCTTCTAAGCTCACTCGAGGCTCAGCAGCTGCGCAAAGCCTCCCCAAACATTCTAGCAACTCTTGCTGCCTGCACCAAACTCATGTTACGCTTGAATACCACAGGATTTAGAGCTGGAAACTTTTTTTCTAAGGATTTTATCTCTTAGTCTTTCCCTGTCAGATGGTCAGCTCTCAGAGGAAGGGAAGATAAAGTAAGCAAGTGGTGGAGTGGGAAGGCACTGGATTGTGAATCCAAGGGCCTGGTCACCTCTGGGTGTGCCACATACTGGCTGTGTCTTGGAAAAGCCACTTATCTTGGATTTCTGTTCTCATCTGTAAAACAAGTAGGGGATAATGTGGGTGTATTAGTTTCCTATTTGCTGCTGTAACAAGTTTCTACAAACTTAGTGGCTTAAAGCAACACAAATTCATTCTCTTACAGTTCTGGAGGTCAGAAGTCCCAAACAGGTCTTCAGGGCTACATTCTTTCTGGAAGCTTGAGGGGAGAATCCATTTTTCATCTTTGTCAGCTTCTAGAGGCCATCGTCATTTCTTGATTAACGGCCCCCTCCTCCACCTTCAAAGCACATCAGCCTCTGCTTCTGTCATCACATCTGTTCTCCATCTTTCTCATGCTTCCCTGCTTCCCTTATAAGGACCTTTGTGATTGCACTGGACCAACCCAGATAATTCAGTAATCTGTCCATCTCAAACTCAATCACATCTGCAAAGTCTCTTGCTGTGTAAGGTAACTTATGCACAGGTTCTGGAGATTAGGACATAGATATCTTGGGGGCCATATTCTGTCTAGAGTGCATTCTTAGGTCTCTTGTGTTTCTAACTTGTCATGAATCTAAAGACGTATTTCTTCCACTTATTTAAGAGCTTAGCACACACAGTGCTAGGCTTATCAGCTTCTTGATAAGTTATGTTTATCCCTGAGGATTTCCTCTTCTCAGATTGTTATTAGGGATTCTAGGGCCTGGTACCACTCAGTGATAGAACTGTGAGCACAAACCTTAGGGTTGTTCTGGTTTGACTGCACTTTCACACACAGAAATTTGACACTGCTTATCTGCCCATCTTTGATTTTGTGCTTTGCAAATTTTGAAAAGACCTCAAAGAATTTTATCTGTTTCCCAGTAACCAGGGGTAGCCTTTAAACAGCCTGTTAATTACACTGGTGATTTCTGTGGTCTCTGCATAGAGTCCGGGATGTGTTTCCAGATCCTCTTGCGTAAGTTGAAGTAGACATGTTGTTGAAGTCTAGAAGCCAAACAATCTTGGATACTAACATAGCTAGTCTCGTCTGTAATTGCTACTTAGTGTTAAATTTATGGTATTTCACAGCAATTTAGATTGGCATTTATATGGGAATTGTGCTGTTTTCTTTCCCTAGATCCTATTGGGCAGTTTCCACCTTGGATCACCATCACTTACAAGGCAGTAAAAAAGCATGCATAACATACATTTATAATGGCTCTATAGTGTTCTCCCCAGTGCTCAGCTCATTGTGCTGAAATAAAATTCCCCTTGGGTTGAAAAACTGTCCCCACTCTTAAAATTTTAAGTTTTGACGTTACTTTTGGCTATAGCATCTGAGAAATACACAATATGAGTCAAGCAAATGTGTAGCTTGCCTGCTGAAGTTTTCTTTCCATTTTATTTCCTAGATGCACCCACTGGGCCTATGTAATAACAATGACGAAGAGGACTTGTATGAATATGGCTGGGTAGGAGTGGTGAAGCTGGAACAGCCAGAATTGGACCCGAAACCATGCCTCACTGTCCTAGGCAAGGTAAGCACCAGGCCCTTGGAATCACTGTGTTTCTGGTTGGTGTTTTCCACTCTTCCATTTCAGCATTCCTCAAATAGTTGATTATGGAGAAGAGCCATGCTGGCACAGTGCTCCTTCCCGGCTGAAGTTGCATGAGGTGGGGACTGAGACATGCCTTGCAGTGGCCCACCAGTGTTTACAAGCCCAGACTGAAAGAGACTGCCAGTCTCAGAGCGGGCTCTACCCTCTTGTCCATTGTGTGGCCTTGGGCAAGTTGCTTCCCCTCAAGGAGTCTTAGTCTCTTGTCTGTGAAATGGGCTAATAATAGAGATTCACAATACTTTATCTTACACCCTTGGGCCAGATGTTTCAGAATTCTGAGATTTGGGGGGTTTAGAAAGGCATTAAGGGGTATAGATTTTATATTAAGTAACCTCCAAGAGACATGGGGAGGCACTCAGTAACCAAACACATTCACATTTGTATAGCAAACCATAGAGATCTTCACATTAAGTGGGATAACTAAAATCTAAATAGCCTCGTGTTAGTTCACGGCAGCTTTGCCTCCAGATGAGTTCAGGTCCATTAAGTTTTGCTGCCAAGTAAGTTATGGGAAAATGTTTCGGTTTTAGAGCTTTTTTTGGTTTCAGAATGGCAGACAGCAATTATGGTCCTGTATTAGAACTTACCTCATAGGTGGTTAGGAGGTGAGATGAGATGCAAACGCCTCACACAAGAGTAAGCCCTCAATAAACGTTTGCTGCCATTGGCTACCATCACTCCATTTAGAAGTACTAAAAAAGACTTTTTAGCCAAGAGGGTCAGCATTACTTTGACTGCAGTATAAGATAGAAATAAATTTACTTTGGAAAGCCACTCATCAACAATCTTAAAATATGACAGGTAACAACCTGTTTTAAACTGGATTTTGTTTAGACTGCATCATTTTGTTAAAAGGAGAGGTTCAGAGAAGGTGATTTGAATTTTGGCTGGGAGAAAGGTAGTCTGTCCTAAGGATAGTGGTACTGACTGGATATCTTTTATATTCTCAAAAGCTGCCATTCTAGGTACCATGGGGAGAGAGCTGGGGCAAAAAACTGTCCTGGTTCCTAACCTCTTGAGGCTCTCTTGAGAAATCCAGGAGAGACAAGGGGTGGTTTTGAAGCAGGGTGCTAGAGAGGGAAGACTTTCCAGACTTAAAGTAGCCCCTGCCAGTGTCTCCTGAAAGACCTTTGGCTCCAGGTACCCTCACAGGTCTAATCTTTTTGTGGTTTTTGCATCCCTCTTGTCTTCTGAATAACTTCAAGTCACTTGTCAAGTTCTCCTGCCCTTTAGTTGGAAAAAATAACCCCACAGGAATTATTAGCTGTTTGCTTTACAGTTCACAAAGTTGAATCGAGGTGTTTTAGGTGGCTCAGGCCCTGATACTTCATCATTTAAATAATTGGCCAGAGCTGCTTAGTGGTGGTAGGAGAGCAATGACCCCCTTGAGAATATTTTAGTGTTTTCTTAGGAGAAATGCCAGCTACATCTACAGGGTAGGAACAGTGCTTTCCTTGTAGGTGTTACGCTCCTAATACAACATTTTCTCTTGTACTTTATGCAGGAATTGGCTCCTTGACTTCATTTGCTTTGCCCCGGTCTGGTGGGGCTCCATCTTTGTGTCTCTCGCATCTATAAATGGGTTGGAACAGGGATTACAGGGTCACCCTATAGTTCTCCCATGGTTTAGCGGTGGGGAAACTTGCTGAAGTCACTCAGAGAACCCAACTATTTCCTCCTCTGCCTGGAACAACCATGTAGTGGTTTTACTTGGAGAGTTTTGTATGATTTGGCCTGCTAGCCTGTGATGCCAGGGGGAATAAAAAACCCTAGGCATATATTGAATCATTAAGTGCTTCTTAAGTTTATTCACTCACCAAATATTTATTGGATGCAGGGGCCCAGAAGCTGAGCATGTGGTTCTACCTGCTTGCAAGCAGCAGCCCCCACGTTTCTCTGGAGAGGCTGGTGGCGGGCAGCATTTGCACATGGTTAGTCATTGCAGTTTGGCTTTGAGTTTACACCTGAATAAAATCATTAGCACAGAAGCTTGGGCCAAAGAAAGACAGTTTTGCATTTGTTTAAAGCCTGGGCCAGTGTAGGAGGTGCGATGAGTCAAGATCTCTCTCTCTTCCTCCCTCTCTCTCCTGCCGCCCCTCTTTCTCTCATCATCTTCTTAAAGTGTGGTTGTTCTCAGTCTCAATTTCATTAACTTTGACAACTGCGTTTTCTTGTTTTATGAGCCCCCCGGGGGCTGGTAGCAAAAAAATAGGTTAAAGGAAGGCAAAGTTATCCCCTTGGGCAGCTTAGTCCCTGCAGAATTCATGATTTTCCATCCATTTCTTGGCTCTGAAGAAGCAGGCAGTGGACAGAGGCAGAAAAGGCATAGGAGGAAAACAGCCAAGCTAGCTTGGGGGTGGGAGCTCCTTCCTGTGGATGTTGAAACTTGTTGAAAACCCACGAAGGGAGGACTCTGTCCGCTGCAGGCGGGCCAGGCATTCGGAAAAGCCTGTGGGAGAAGAGGGGTGGCCTAGACACAGGCTAACCCCCTCCCCACCACCCACCCTCTTCACCTACCCGCGTACTTACAGACAATGCCACAGGGTGAAACCTTGAAATAAGAGAGGATGTCCTAAATTAAAACACGTAAATGCCTCTCCAAGAGTTCAAATAAAATTTCATTTTAAAAGCAAAAGGCATAAACTTGTCACCTCAGTTTATTACTGAGTGCTTTTGAACTTCTCAGAAAAGAACTCTATAAACTCATGAGAGAAATATGATTTATGATCCCCTCCTTCTCTTCTTTTCCATTCTGTGGGAGGAGGTACAGTCAGGATCAGCTAGGGAGGCAGCGTTGGGATGAGGGCAAGACCCCACAGGGGAGCAGCAGGCCAGGGCGCCAGGCCAGGCCCAGCCTCAGACCAGGCATGGGCGCATCTCTCCAGCTTTCTGAGCCTCTCTCCTGTACTTAATGTGGAGAGGCTGTTGTGGGTTCCTTGTTCTTCTAATATTTTGAGCTTCTGTATCATATTTAAAATCTTTCTTTGATATTCTAGTTCGGAGAGATTCTAGTTACAGCATTGAAAAACAGGCTCTGTTACCTGTGGCAGTTTAAGTCCTAAGAAGTTAAAATAGAATAAAATTGACATTTCTTAGAGTTTGCTATTAAGTAAGGGTCTTGGCCAGGCACGGTGGCTCACACTTGTAATCCCAGCACTTTGGGAGGCCGTGCCGGGCAGATCACTTGAGGCCAGGAGTTTGAAACCAGCCTGGCCAATATGGCGAAATCCCATCTCTACTAAAAATACAAAATTAGCTGGGAGTGGTGGCATGCACCTGTAGTTCCATCTGCTTGGGAGTCTGAGGCAGGAGAATTGCTGGAGGTGGAGGTTGGAGTGTGCTGTGATCGCACCACTGTACTCTAGGCTGGGCGACAGAGGAAGACCCTGTCTCCAGTCAATCAATCAGTCAATCAGTCAATCAATGTAAGGGTCTTAAACCATCCCCAAAGCAAAGGAGTCTATGTTTATGTCCCGGGCATCTTAACCCTCCAATTCAATCAGTGTTTATTAAGCATCTTATAGAGCTAAGAATTTTGAAGGTTGACTTTAATAGCTTTACCTGTGGAGAGTCTCATGGCAGGGAACATGAGAGGTGCTGGCGTTTCTAGCAAAGCCTGGTTGGCCCTGATTCTGTAACTCAAGGCAGAATAAATGCCCCATAACCACCACCCCATGTTAGAGAAGATTCTTAGGGAGAGGTTTGGAAAACAGCATGGGCCAGGCGTGGTGGCTCACGCCTGTAATCCTAGTACTGTGGGAGGCTGAGGCGCGCCGATTGCATGAGCTCAGGGATTTGAGACCAGCCTGGGCAACATGGCAAAACACCATCTCTACAAAAAACACAAAAATTAGCCAGTCATGGTGGTGCATGCCTGTGGTTTCAGCTACTCGGGAGGCTGAGGTGGGAGGATTGCTTGAGCCCAGGAGGTCAAGGCTGCAGCGAGCTGAGATTGTGCCACTGCCCTCCAGCCTGGCCAACAGAGAGACCCTCTCTCAAAAAAAAAAAAAAAAAAAAAAAAAAAAAAAAGAAGAACAGTATGGTCAATAGGCATGGCCTTAGCTCTCTCCAAGGCTTAATAGTACAATGTGGGGAAATTGAGAAAAAGATAAGAAAGGGAGTTTCATGTCACAGAGACCCAGCCTTGGCTGACTGACCTCAGAAAGGGTACTTCATTCAGTTCTCGGTGCATTCTCCTCTGTGCAGCAGGGCTAATGCTGCCTGTGTCATTGTAGTGGGGGCTCTGTGAGATATTTGTAGAGCACTTAGCTCAGAGCCTGGCTTATGGGAAATGTTGGATGACCATGTAGAAGTCAGCCATCACATGTTGGGTGCTCGCCGAGTGCTGAGAGCTTTACCTATAGCGTCTCCTTTAATTAATGCTAATTTGACATCCTATCCAGATTCCCATTTTACCATAAGCAAATCGAGTCCTAGAGAGTTCTCTACATAACCTGAAATTGAACAGCTTACAAGAGCCAAGATCTGAAATAAGACCCTTCTGCTTCATCAATGTTGGTTTCTTCTCTTTGCCTCCTTTTGTCTTCGCCAGTTTTTCTAGATAAAAATCAGATGCTCACCTGGGCACGGTGGCTCACACCTATAATCTCAACACTTTGAGAGGCTGAGTCAGGAGAGCTGCTTGAGGCCAGAAGTTCAAGACCAGTTTGGGCAACATAGTGAGACCTCCTGTCCACAAAAGAATAAAAAAAAAAAAATAATAAGCTGGGCATGGTGGCACGAGCCTGTAGTACTAGCTACTCGGGAGGCTGAGGCAAGAGGATGGCTTGAGCCAAAGAGTTCGAGCCTACAGTGAGCCATGATCATGCCACTGCTCTCTAGCCTGGGATATAGAGTGAGACCCTATCTCTCTCCCTCTTCCCCCCAACCCCCCGCCCCGGCCCCGCACACCACCCCCCACCCCCCGGAAAAACGAAAAAGAAATCAGATGCCTTTTAGTAGTCAAAGGCTTGGTTAAAACTGTTAGTTCCACATAATAGAAACTCAGCCTGAGCTCTGTTGAGCAGAAAGAGGAATTTGCTCTGAGGATTCTGGGCTATGTCACAGAACCCATGACAGGGGTGCTGATGCCCTTCCACAGCACCTGACTCCAGGGCTTGGATGCCAGCGGCCCCCTCCTCAACTCTTCTCCATCCACGCATCTGCTTTATTCTCTCACTCCCCATTTGGTAGGAGACGCAGCCCCCCAGTCTCCCTGGGCATGAACTCTCTGGGTTTTGAGTCTGAAAAATTCCAGAAAAGGGATTCATTGGCCCATCTTGGATCAGGGGCTCACACTTAGGCTAGTCAGCTGTACCCTGGGGGCTGTCCTGCCATAGGTGGGGAGCAAGGGGAAGATGTGTTCTCCAGAAGAGAGCTGGTGGGGGGCAGTGCTGGGCTGTCATCCTCATAGCAGGCCCCTGCAGTCACTAAATCATATATGTGATCATGAGCTTGTGGGTGATGTCCTCAGTCTATCCTGAGTCATTCAGAGAAGGTTCAGCTGGAAGAAACTCATGGTCTATGTGTACTACATAGAATCAAATCCTCTTCTTCCCCTGAACACAGAGAGTGATTGTGGTGAGTGAAAAGTGAGTCCACGTGGACTGGAGGAGTTGGGCAGGTTTTACAGAGTGGGGGTTGTGTAAGACAGACGTACGAGGAGACAGGATGAGGTAGGAAAAGAATCTCCAGAACAGGGCAGAAGAAAAGGGAGCAAGATGTTCTTCAAGGAGCATTGAAAGTTGCTGCTGAAGGAAGAGGCTCTCAAGTGAAAGAGTTTGGTCTTCATTCTCTAAAGAGCTGGGAGCCACTGAAGGCTTCTGACAAAAGAGCAGGTGTTGTAGAATCTGTATTCTGGGAATGTTCACTTGGCAGTGGCATCTATTCTGGTTGGAGAGAGATCAAGTTACCCTGCCACTAGATGTTTTGAGGAACCCAGTGGAACCAGGCATCTGTTATTTTAAATGCTTTAGTGGGGCTCAAGCCCGGAAATTACTGAGGGCTCTTCATGTTTGCCATCTCTCCTTTCTGTTTGCACATTTAAGCAAATGTGAAATGTAGGAGCAACATGTCCAACAGCATGGGAAGGTGGAAAACTATGTTGAAAGGGAGGAGAGCTGGTTTTTAATCCTGGCTCTTCTGATAAGCAGCGGGGAAACCAAGGTACGAGAGGTGGGTGGAAAATTGAACCATATGGTCAGCCCACTAACCCACGTCCAGCCCTCAGTGTCTTGGGAACTTCTTTGCAAAGCACAAATACAGACTCTGGTAACCAAAATGACCAGAAGACAGAGAACCGAGTCAAAGGAACCTTGACTTTTCAAAGTGATTGGGAGAGGGGGAGCATGTAAGGGTTAAGACTTGGGTTTAGTCATCATACTAACACAGGTTTCAACCCCAGTTCTAACCCTTTTCTGAGACAGGGTCTTGCTCTGTTGCCCAGGCTGGAGTGCAGTGGCACAATCATGGCTCACTTCAGCCTCAAACTCCCGGGCTCAAGTAATCCTCCCACTTCAGCCTCCCAAGTAGCTGGGACTACAGGTGTGTGCCACCACACCTAGCTAGTTTTTAATTTTTTTGTAGAGACAGAGTCTCAATATATTACCCAGGCAACAGGCTCCTAGACTCAAGCGATCCTCCTGCCTCCCAAAGTGCTGGGATTACAGGCGTGAGCCACCGCACTCAGCCCCAAGCCTTCTAAGCTCTGTGAGCTCCTGCAGTCACTTAACGCGTCTGTGTGTTTAGATGGGAATAGCCCCTAAAGGAGATAATGTATATCAAGTGTTGATCACATTCCTGGCACAACCAAAAGCACTAAACCAGGTGTTGACTCTTATTGTCCATCTTCTCTTCCTTTCTCTCTCCCTCCTTTATTGTCCTTCAGTTCCTTTCTTTTTTTTTTTTTTTTTTTTTTTTTTTGAGATGGAATTTCACTCTTGTTGCCCAGGCTGGAGTGCAATAGTGTGATCTTGGCTCACTGCAACCTCCGCCTCCCGGGTTCAAGTGATTGTCCTGCCTCAGCCTCCTGAGTAGCTGGGATTACAGGCATGCACCACCACGCCTGGATAATTTATTTTATATTTTTTATTTTTAGTAGAGACGGGGTTTCTCCATGGTGGTCGGGCTGGTCTCAAACTCAGGTGATCCACCCACCTCAGCCTCCCAAAGTGCTGGGATTACAGGCATGAGCCACCGCTCCCGGCTCCTTCGTTCCTTTTATCACTCAAAGTGGTATTACTTAAGGAGTCAAATCCGTAGAGACAGAAAGTAGAATGGTGGTTGCTGGGGTGGGGTATGGGGCAAGGGGAGTTGTTTAATGGGTATGAAGCTTCCATTTGAGAAGATGAAAAAGTACTGGAGATGAGTGGTGGTCATGGTTGGATGACAGCGTGAATATGCTTAATGCCACTGAACTGTGCACTTAAAAATGATTACAGTGGCAAATTTCATGTTATGTATATTTTACCACAGTTAAAAAAACAATGGTATTACTTAAATCATTTCATAATATATGGAAGTTGAGAGCAGTGGGTATAAAAAAAATAAGCAATTTTTTCCTTAAGCGATGGAGCATAGTTGCTCCAGGAAAGAAGTGGGTGACTGATGTTACTGAATCCTGGGGCAAAGCAAACCCGCATCCCATAGAATGTTATTCCCAAGGAGTGTTCTGGACAATCTAGGTACAATGAGGACAGAGACCAAACCCTTCTTTGTGCATCAGGATGCCCTGGGGAAATTTTCTACTTACTTTTGAAGAACAACTCCCAAAATAGAGAATTTCGGGGAAGGGAAGACAGACTTATTTGTTATCCTCTCTTCATGACAAAGTGGATGGAGGATAGGAAAATCAAACTAATTGAAATCCAAGGCTGGGCGGGGTGGCTCACGCCTGTAATCCCAGCACTTTGGGAGGCTGAGGCGGGTGGATCACGAGGTCAGGAGAGCCAGACCATCCTGGCTAACACGGTGAAACCCCATCTCTACTAAAAATACAAAAAAATTAGCCTGGTGTGGTGGCGGGCGCCTGTAATCCCAGCTACTCAGGAGGCTGAGGCAGGAGAATGGCGTGAGCCCAGGAGCTTGCAGTGAGCCGAGATCACGCTACTGCACTCCAAACTGGGCGACAGAGCGAGAATCCATCTCAAAAAAAAAAGAAGAAATCCAAAGATGTTTGAATTTCTTCACTAAATATTAGCCAGAACCTGATATGTACCACAGTGATGGAGTGTGGTTGGTACTTAAAGGAAAAAGAACTCAGGAAGAATCCAGGAAGGGGGCAGTCACCTTATGATGATGAATGGGTTTTGCCAAACCTCTCAGAATTTGGGCTTTTGTTTTCTGACCATTGTCTCACTGAGTTCTCTGATGAAAGTCAAAGCTCGTAAAATTACAGTGTAGGTGTTAATCTAGCACAGCAGTTCTCAAAGTGTGGCTGGGGGCTGGTAGGGATTCTCAAGGTCTTTTCTAGGAGCACCCACAGGATCAAAACTGCCTTTTTTTTTTTTTTCCAAGACAGGATCTCACTCTGTCACCCAGGCTAGAGTGCAGTGACACTATCTTGGCTCACTGCAACCTCTGTGCCCCAGGCTCAGGTGATCCTCCCACCTCAGCCACCCGAGTAACTGTGACTATAGGCACATGCCATGATGCCCAGCTAATTTTTCTATTTTTAATAGAGATGTGGTTTTGCCATGTTGCCCAGGCTGGTCTTGAACTCCAGGGCTCAAGCAATCCACCTTCCTTGGCCTCCCAAAGTGCTGGGATTACAGGCGTGAGCCACTGTGCCTGGCCAAAACTGTTTTCATGTAATATTATTTTGAAATTATTTTTATTTTTTCGAGGCAGGGTCTTACTATGTTGCCCAGGCTGGTCTCAAACTCCTGGCTTCAAGCCATCCTCCTTCCTTAGCCTCCCAAAGTGCTGGGATTATAGGCATCAGCCACTGTTCCCAGCCTGTTTTCATGGTAATATTGAAGTGACATTTGCCCTTTTCACTCTTATTCTCTCACAAATGTATGGTGAGGTTTTCCAGGGACATCATTGTGTGTAGTGACTTCATCACTCTGACAACTAATGGAATGTGTGCTTGCATATTCTGTGTTTTAAAGATTTCTCAGATTATAATTCCTAATTTGGTAAATATCAATAGATATAACCAAATCAGAAGTTCTTGGGGTTCTTAATCATTTTTGAGAATGTGAAGGAGGTCTGTAATCTGAGTTCATTGAGCTGGCATTATGGCCCCACTGTAAAGATCATCTCAGAGAGCTTAGCTGGGTTAGAGAAACCCTTCTATAAAATCAGTGGAAATGAACAGAAACTAGAGGACAATACAGGGAGTAAAGGTGAACTATTCTGTTCTGCAGTACTGGGGCCAAAAGAATGTTGGTTCTGAAGTGTTAGTAATTTGAGTAAAACCAATGGGTTGCAGTTTTCCACATTTAATAACAAACAACCAGACAGTGAATTTGAAGAACCTCAGCGAAGAAGATCTGAATATCTTTGCTGCTTGCATTGGGATATAACCTTCAACCTTGACGTAGAACAGGGCTTACCTGGATGGGTCTTTACTTGAGACAGGAACTTGGGTAAAGCTACAGAGTTTTTTATAAGCCATGTAGATATTGTGGGGATGAGGGGCCTTATCCTTCCGCATGCCATCCTCATTGGGGTTTTGATCACAGATCTGTATTTCCTGGGATACCTGAGTGCCCTCGGCTTTAACCCAAGTTCAGCTTAGCACTCCTGAGTGGTGAGATTCTCAACTTAAGAGGGACGGTTGGGCCGGAATCCTTGGGTCTGATTTGCTGTGGGAAGGGGAGGAGGCTAACTGTCCCATGGACCTGGTCACAGCTGTTCCACATCATAGGTCTTGGCCTCACCAGGCCTTCTCTGGTCAGTGAAACAAGTAGGTATTTGTCATGTACCTGAGCACGGGGCATACTGACTATTGCTTATTGCCATGGCATCCCTGGAAGCACGCTGCAACTATTTGGGACTGACGGTATCGTACCTTCCCTGGTCCTCTTATCACATTGTTTCCAAACGGGGGCAATTTTCACCCCAGGGGATACTTGGCAATGTCTGGAAACATTTTTGGTCTTCAAAAATGTCAGGGTTGGGGGGTGGGAGTGGGGGTGCTTACTGGTATCTAGTGGAGTTCCCCTTCCTCCTTCATTCCTTTCTCTGCCCCATTGCCTGCCATGAACAACAGGTTCCTGGTAGCCTTTGTGCTATGGTTCTGTTGGGAATTGGTGCTCTGGCACATTCCTCTCTCCATCTGAGGAGTGTGAAGAGCCTAGATCTTAAAGCTGAACAGCTGAGGTGCAAGTGATCGTTCTGTTCAGTAACAGCTGGGTTACTTTGGGCTGTTTAACCTCTCTGCCTCCGTTTCTCCATACCGCCTCTGTAAAGTGAATTCTGATAATTAAAAAAAGAATAAAGTGGCTGGGTACAGTGGCTCACACCTATAATCCCAGCACTTTGGGAGGCGAGAGGATAACTTGAAGTCAGGAGTTCCAGACCAGCCTGGGCAACAAGCGAGAACTCATTTCAACAAAAAAACAAAAAAATAGCTGGGCATGGTGGCACACACTGTAGTCTCAGCTACTCAGAAGGTTAACATGGGAGGATCATTTGAGCCCAGGAGTTCAAGGCTGTAGTGAGCTATAATCACACAACTGAGAGTGAGACCCTGGCTCTTTAAAAAAAAAAAAAAAAAAAAAAAAGTATGACCCAGGCACGGTGGCTCACGCCTGTAATCCTAGCACTTTGGGAGGCTGAGGCGAGCGGATCACCTGAGGTCAGGAGTCCGAGACAGCCTGGCCAACATGGTGAAATCTCGTCTCTAGTAAAAATACATAAATTAGCCGGGCATGGTGGCGGGCACCTGTAATCCCAGCTACTCGGGAGGCTGAGGCAGGAGAATCGCTGGAATCAGAGAGGCAAAGGTTGCAGTGAGCCAAGATCGCACCACTGCATTCCAGCCTGGGCGACAGAGCGAGACTCCGTCAAAAAAAAAAAAGTATGTAAAGTTCTTGGAATATGTGAATACTCAACAAATATCACTATCAATTTCTAAACATACTGCTACCAAGCAGATGGAAGTCCCTTTTCTAAGGTGAGCAAGATGGGTTTCTTGTTGAGGAGGAAGTTTGGAAAGCTCTTCATATTTATTTTAAGGAGCACTTGGGTAGCTATCTCCTACATTTGATTAAAACCGGATGCAAGCAAGAAACTTAGTAAAGGAAATCAGATCAGAAAGAAAAGATTGGCATGATGTAAGTGGAAAAACTCAGGGAATACAAGTTTTCTTCTAAGGTCATATGTATGATTTGAAAGTCACAAAATTTTAATTTGATGCTTTTCATCTACACCACCTAAATCTTCCATGAACCTCTTGGTTAAAAGGCTATATTAAGCACAATACTTTTAAAAAACTAGATCAGAGACATTTTTAGCTATAAAAGGCTAACTGAAACCATTATTTGAGATCCACTGGGAGGCTTAAGAGAGTTTTGAAGATAGAGTGAGTTAACAGAACAAATAATGTGTCTGTCAAGCCAAGGAGCACAGGCGGCTGGCCACCTCCCAGGACTGGGGGAAGCCTAGCTCTAGACACTCCTCCCTGCCACTGTCCCCATCCATTGAACCAGGCTCTTGATGCAACAAGGGTCACAAATGAGGCTAAATCAGAGAACTAGAGATGGTATGACTGGCCAGCTGAAAAGCCCATCAAAAATAGCTACTGAAGCCGGGTGCGGTGGCTCATGCCTGTAATCCCAACACTTTGAGAGGCAGAGGTGGGCGGATCACTTGAGGTCAGGAGTTTGAAACCAGCCTGGCCAACATGGTGAAACCTCATCTCTAATAAAAATACAAAAAAAAAAAAAAAAAAAAATTAGCCAGGCATGGTGGTGGGTGCCTGTAATCCCAGCTACTCAGAAGGCTGAGGCAGGAGAATTGCTTGAACCTGGGAGGTGGGGGTTGCAGTGAGCCAAGATGGTGCCACTGCACTTCAGCCTGGGCGACAGAACAAGACTCTGTCTCCAAAAAAAAAGCTATTGAAAAAAAATTAGCTGGGCATGGTTAGCTACTTGGGAGGCTGAGGTGGGAGGATCACTTGAGGCTGCAATGAGCTATGATTGTGCCACTGTACTCTAGTCTGGGTGATAGAGCGAGACCCCTGACTCTCAAAGAAAGCTACTGAACTTGTCTACCTTTGAGAGGCCATTTTGAAGGATAGAGGAAGTACCAGTATCGGGTCAGTTGGCCAGAATCTCTCATTCCTGGAGACAAGCCCAAAAGTCCCATCTGCTTTTTGTTCTCAAATAGAGAGGCCTCATATACATCTGGCCATGCACATACGTTATGCCAGCCACAACAGTGGGCAGTCACTCGAGTGCGTTGCAGGTTGCTGGGGCTACCATGACAGTGACTGCACATGATTGGTTTTCTGTCTACGAAGCTCCCAGAAAACCTGGACATTTCTGGAGTTCCCCCTCCCTTTCAGTGTACTTGTATAGCACCTGTGCAGGAGAGCACCACACCCCTAACCTCGGTGACATAAATTCTCACTGAATGTAGAGACAGAAGGAAAGGGGACGGCAGAGAAAGCTTGTCTGTGAGCCTTGGTCACAAGACCTCAGACTGCAGAGACATGCAATTACTTTTCTTCTGTCCTTTGTGTTTCCAAAAGCACCATATTTTATTTGATAAAAGGTACAGGGGACCATTCTGCTTTTGTGATGTTGTTTTCCAAATCAAGCATCAGGCTCTCTGGTCTGAGTAATGCTTTTTGTGCTGAGTATTAAGTTTGAGACAGTCTAAACAATTCCTTTGGGGGTACTGAAATACTTTAAATTTTGCATCATTTTTGCTAGTTATAAAAATAATAAAAGAGTTTCAACACATTCCATTTGTTCTAAGCACTGTTGGATTAAATAAAATTCTGGTCAGCCTGAAGAACGTGGGCTATTTCTTGTGCTATATATAAAGGTATGTGGTCTTTACTATTTCACATTAACCTGTTGCTAGAGGTTTTCACAAATGTATCAATTCACAAAAGAACCTCAGAGAAAAGAATGTGAAATATGCTAGGAATTTTTGTTAACCTTGGCTTGATTTTTAGAAGTTAAATTTTAAAATGTTTTAGCTTTAGAAGGTTCTTTTTTCATTTCTTAGTAAACATAGTCATTTTCTTGGTGTTTTCTAATTTTTTAAGTTTTAATTGATGAAATCTTAACATCTTTTAGAACCTAACTGTAAAGGTGTAGTTACAATTTACAATTTATAGCATCAACTTAATCTTACTATTTCAGTTACTGTATTATTCCATTTGCATTACTCTAAGGAATACCTGAGACTGGGAAATTTATAAAGAAAGAGGTTGAATTGACTTATGGTTCTGCAAGGTGTACAGGAAGTGTGTTGCCAGCATCTGGTTCTAGTGAGGGCCTCAGGAAGCTTACAATCACCACAGAAGGCAAAGGGGGAGCTGGTGTATCACACGGCGAGAGTGGGAATGAGATGGGGGTGGGATGCTTCTAGGCTGGGGTGCAGTGATGCAACCATGGCTTACTGCAGCTTCAACCTCCCGGGATCAGGCGATCCTCCCACCTCAGCCTCCTGAGTAGCTGGGACTATAGGCACGCCCACCACACCCAGCTCATTTTTAGATTATTTTTTGTAGAGAGAAGGTCTTGTTCTGTTGCCCAGGTTGGTCACCAACTCCTGGCCTCATGATCCTCCTGCCTTGGCCTCCCAAAGCTTTGCCTTTTTTTTTTTTTTTTTTTTTTTTTTTGAGATGGAGTCTCAGTCTGTTGCCCAGGCTGGAGTGCAGTGGCGCGATTTCAGCTCACTGCAAGCTCCGCCTCCTGGGTTCACACCATTCTCCTGCCTCAGCCTCCCGAGTAGCTGGGACTACAGATGCCTGCCACCACACCCGGCTAATTTTTTTGTATTTTTAGTAGAGACAGGGTTTCACCATGTTAACCAGGATGGAGCTTTACCTATTTTTTTAATTGGCGAATTTTTCCTTTTATTATTGAGTTTATTGAGTTATGAGAGTTCTTTACTCTAGACATAAGTCCCTTATTAGATACATTATTTGTAAGTATTTTCTCCCATTCTGTGGGATATCTTTTCACTTTCTTGATGATAACCTTTGCAACCCAAGATTTTTTAAACTTTTTTTTTTTTTTTTTGAGATGGAGTCTCGCTCTGTTGCCCAGGCTGGAGTGCAGTGGCATGATCTTGGCTCACTGCAACCTCCACCTCCTGTGTTCAAGCGATTCTCCTGCCTCAGCCTTCCGAGTAGCTGGGATTATAGGCACACGCCATCACGCCCAGCTAATTTTTTTATTTTTCAGTAGAGGCGGGGTTTCGCCTTGTTGGCCAGGCTGGTCTCGAACTCCTGACCTCAAGTGATCTGCCCACCTTGGCCTCCCAAAGTGCTGGGATTACAGTGAGCCACCGCGCCCAGCCAAAAGTTTTTAATCTTGATGAAGTCTGGTTTATCTATTTTTTTCTTTGGTTGCTTGTGCTTTTTGTGTCATATCTAAGAAACCATTGGAAGGCACATTCTGTCACTGAGATTTGCCAGTTGTCCTTACTGTAGTATTTTACATGGGTCATATATTTAAGGTCCTTCTGAGATTCCTAAAAATAATTAATTCCCTTTTCTCTTCAAAAGCTTTTAAGTTAATAGAGGGTCTAGAAGTGTTCCTCTCTCTTCATCACTTGTCCTTATCCTGACCTGCCTTAAAGCATGATCCCTTGATTTTATCTGGGACATCTGAGCCACAAAAGTCTCTATATATATCCATTGGCAAGAGGATGGTAGATCCTTATGTATGTCGATGGTCAGGATTCCTTCAATTTCAGCTCAATAGCAGAGTGGCTGGTTAAAAATGTGGAAAGATGGGAGAGCCACTGCCAAATCTCCTCCCATTTTTAGCTAATGATGGTTCTGGAAGGGACTGGCCTGCTATTTCTTACAATTCCAGAAAGTATCCATGAATGTACATGCTGCTGCTGACCAGCCTTAGGGAGGGCCTGATTTCTTATGGGCTTAAAGTTATAGTCCATCAAATCTAAGTTAGGGCAGATAAAAGACAGCTTATCAAAATAAAGGTACAAGAGGTGCCATTTTGAAACCTAATGCTGTAGAAAGGATGTAGGCAAGTAACAGCTGTCAGTAAGCTTCCCACCCCTGCTGCGCTTTCGGTGTGTTTGAAAAGAGAACAACTCCAAGTTCCATTTTAGAATGTTAAAGATCTAAAAAATGTTTCCAAATTAATTTTTCTCTCAAAGGTTTGCTGATGCGCACCAGACTGTAAATAATTGCCCTAACTGATGGCCAGGCCCTTATTCTCAGAAGGGGATATAGGTGTCTTTGTGGGATGGGTATCCTTAAGCAGGATCTGTGCTCCTAAGAACAGCAGCAACAGGCAGTGCAGGGACCTTCTGTTGAATTCTACCTGTAAACCACAGCCTGTCTGGAAGGTCTGACTCCAGGCCACTCAGCCTTGGCAAGCATGTACTTCCGAAAGCGCCTGGCAGAAATGGGAGCTGATAGACAGGCGCACATGGCAGGGGGAGATCCTTGTGCAGTGGCTTGACACTAACTAGACCAGAGACCATTTCCCATGTTCTTTTTCATAACACCAGAAGCACCAAGGAAAGAGAAGAAAAAAATTTTGCACTTATTTTTGGGTCTTTTCTATCACATGAAATTCATCTGAAACAGTTCAAATTTTGTTTGATGTTTTAGCACCCCATTTTTCCTGTTATAAGATATTCAGTCTCTCTGCAGATATAATGCAATTGGCTTTTATATCATGATTATGTTTTTAAAAATAAAATAAATGGAGTTGACTACCACACAGAAGTTTTACTTGGGATGGAAATTGACTCTTCACTAAAGGTCAAAATAGAATCCATTTGTTTTGGCTGGGCGCAGTGGCTCATGTCTGTAATCCCAGCACTTTGGGAGGCCAAGGTGGGCGGATCACGAGGGCAGGAGATAGAGACCATCCTGGTTAACACGATGAAACTCCATCTCTACTTAAAAAAATACAAAAAAATTAGCCAGGCGTGGTGGCGGGCGCCTGTAGTCCCAGCTACTCAGGAGGCAGGAGAATGGCTTGAACCCGGGAGGTGGAGCTTGCAGTGAGCCGAGATCGCGCCACTGCACTCCAGTCTGGGTGACAGAGCAAGACTCCGACTCAAAAAAAAAAAAAAAGAATCCATTTGATGTGCACGCATCTCTTAAGAAGTGACTGAAGGCTCGTGCCTGTAATCCCAACACTTTGGGAAGTCAAGGCAGGAGGATTGCTTGAGCTCAAGAGTTGGAGACCAGCCTCGGCAACATAGTGAGACCCTGTCTCTACAAAACATTAAAAAATTAGCCAGATGTGGTGGTGCATGCCTGTGGTCCCAGCTACTCGGGAGGCTGGAGCGGGAGGCTTGAGCCTGGGAGGTGGAGGCTACAGTGGGTGGTGATCCTGCTACTCCAACCTGGGTGACAGAGCAAGACCCTGTCTCAAAAAAAAAGAAGTGACTGAATTACATAAAGCTGGATCTCTTACCAGCCCCCTGCATACCCCAATCCCTCTGTCTTTGCTTAGGTTGGGCTTTCTTTTATGAATAATAGAAAATAAGAAAATTGCCTGTTTTGGGCAATCCAGGTGTGTTTCAGAGATTTGGAGTTAAAAAGTCAAGTAAATATTTTGGCAACCCAACAAAGGTAAGAAAAGAAGCATGCACCTAACGGGCTTCTCGAATTACAGGCTTGTCCAAACACTGCCTTCCTCAAGAGACGCTGGTCAGGGACAAAGCCTGCCCTGCTGTCAACAGCAAGGCCCGGCTGAGAAGTGGGCTTGCTTCTCTTGCTGGTCCTGGCCCTGAGCCAGATAGGACGCCATTTGACTTTGATTCAGTCTGACCCAAGAGAAAATATACCATCAGCAAGTGGAGGATCTTTCCTCCTTAACAGACTTTAGTCATATTGCTTCTTCTTCCTTGCTGAAAAAAAGCCCAGGTAGATTTTTCTCTCCCGTTAAATTGGAACCCTGAAGTTAGGAGGCACAGTATCTCAGATACTGTCAGATAACAAGAGCCACCTTTTCAGTCTCTGTAACTTCATCTATCTCGAGGGTTGGGAGGCAGACAGCTATGAAAGAAGACCCAAAAGCAGCAGAATCTGGGCATCCCAAGTGTACCCGAAGCACGCCAGTCTAGGTGGCCCCTCTGTCACCTGGTTTAAGAACAGACATCTTAGAAGGAAGGAGCTCTGACCAGCTAGTGGCATGTCTCCTTTCAAGCTGTGCTTTGTGTCTCTTCAACAGAAAGGCAGACATCAGAGAACTGCCTCTCTTCCTCGCCCTCCCCCAGTGGCTTCCCCTGGATCACCTTGGCAGGGCCTCATCCTGAGGAGGGTGGGTGGAGGAGGGAGGAGGGCGGGTGGCGGCTGCAGTGGCGGCTCCTTTGATCACCTCCCGCCCGGTTCCAGTCCCTGCTGCCAGCAGGCCAGCCAAAGGCCCGACTCTACTGATCTGATGAGGTGCTGAATAGGACCCGAAGGGCAGGGACAGAGCAAGAAGAAAGCTTCGGGAATGAAAAGGAAACCCCGTGAACCTGCTCGGCTTCATTGGCCGGATTTTCCTACCAGGGAGCCGCTCAGTTCCTGCCAGCCAGGGACTGCCTGCCCCTCACTCTGGCCCCTCTTGTCTCCGCTTTTCAGACCTTTGTGTGTGTTTTGTGTTTGAATCACGGCTGCTCTCCCTGGTTCTCAGGCTGGGAACCCACTGCGCCTGTTTCCATGGTCACTGGGAAGCTCTTAGCGCCATGTGCTTCAAAGGGAACCTTTCCCCTCCCAGCACTCGCTGCTGCCTGCCCCAGCCAGGCTCACAATAAGCGGCTCCTCCAAGCCAGGCCTCTGACCCTCACTTGCCAGGAGGAAAACCTTGCCTTTGCCAAGCAAGGCTGTGCAGCCTCACAGAAATATTCCTCAGCAGAGCATGTGGATGCACACACACTTGTGGCACATCAGTCCTCACGTGCCTACTTGTAGATTTTTATGAGATATAGAGCTTATAGATTGGTGAGAGAGTGTTAACTTTCCTCACATCCCTCTGTTTAGGAACCTTTCTGAAATTGAAGAAAAGAGCAAAGCCTAAGCCCCTTGTAGGAAAAGAGATGAGCTTGTTTGGGGTAGGAGGAAAGGAGGAAGAAGACCCATGTCTTTTGGGTCAGCAGAGAATGGAATTGAAGAACTTAGCTCTGGGCTTCCTCTCCCTGCAGCTGGGGTGGTGAGGGTGGTACCTGTTCACTCTTCCAGGGCCAAGGATGCCTGAGCAGTTGCCCACCAGGCTTGAAATTTGGCTTTGCTTATTTGTTGAATAATGCAGGGGAATGAAGCCTCTCACATCTGACTGGAGAGAGTCAGTGGTCTAGTGATCTTGGAGGGCTGCTACATGATGACACTGGAATTAAAAGGTGACTGTCAGGCCAGGCGAGGTGGGCGGATCACCTGAGGTCGGGAGTTCAAGACCAGCCTGACCAACATGGAGAAACCCCGTCTCTACTAACAATACAAAATTAGCTGGGCGTGGTGGTGCATGCCTATAATCTCAGCTATCGGGAGGCTGAGGCAGGAGAATCGCTTGAACCCTGGAGGCAGAGGTTGCAGTGAGCTGAGATTGCGCCATTGCACTCCAGCCTGGGCAACAAGAGTGAAACTCTGTCTCAAAAAAAAAAAAAGACTGTCCTCTGAAGAGCTTATGTTTTAGATGCAAAGCCTGCTCCCCTAGCTTGGAGCTCACAATATTAATATCTGCCTTGGGCTTATTGCACTATATAGAGCCTGTATGGGAAATTGGACATTTCTCCAGTATTACCAGTGATCAAGGTTCTTATCATCCGTTTCTTTTTTTTTTTTTTTTTTTGAGACAGTTTTGTTCTTCTTGTCCAGGCTACCGTGCAATGGCACAATCTCGGCTCACCGCAACCTCCACCTCCCGGGTTAAAGCGATTCTCCTGCCTCAGCCTCCTGAGTAGCTGGACTTACAGGCGTGTACCGCCACGCCTGGCTACTTTTGTATTTTTAGTAGAGATGGGGTTTCACCATTTGGTCAGGCTGGTCTCGAACTCCTGACCTCAGGTGATCTGCCTGCCTCGTCCTCCGAAAGTGCTGGGATTACAGGTGTGAGCCACCGCACCTGGCCCAGTTGGGCTCTTTTGACTCCTGATATTGTCTTTCCTTATCGTTCCTGGTTCCTTATCAGTCTCCAGGCTGGCTGCTGTTGGAGTGTGGGTGGCCCCCTGCAGAAGACACTCTCAGTAGTTGTGCTCCATGGCTTTCTGTGTAGTGATGGGAATTTCAGGGCCATTTCAGATGTGCCCTTTGTATTACTAGAATAAAGTGCACCTATTTGGTATTAACTCTAATTTCTACTTGTAACTCATGATTCTGGAAAAGGTTTCTAAAACTTGCAGACTTGAAGCTTCCATCATTGTACCAAAATCTGTCTTCTCTGGCCACATGTAGCATTTTAAGGGTAGGTTTTGATAAAGTCTTAGCCCAGGAGCCGCAGCATCCCAAAGATGCTTTTCTGTTAGAACATGCATACACAGACCTAAAAGTTAGTACATTTGGCATGCCTGTGAAAAGCAAACTGAAGAAGAATGCTGGCTACCATAAAACAGGTGTCATGATTGCATTCCTACTGTATGCCAGGTGTTTTCACACATTATCTGAAATCCTTACAGTATCCCCGGAGAGAATTGTTATCAGATGATCATTTTGCTGCTAATGCAGGGAGGAGGGGACAGAACGACTTGAATAACGTGTGTGGTCATGCAGCTGGTCTGGGCAGAGGTGGGTGGGAGCAAAGGCCCCTGGCTCTAATGAATGGTCTTCACAGGGGTACCTACCAGTGGTTTTGGGATTACTTTGAACAGATTCTAGGGGGAAAGTTTGGTTAAATTTAGGTAACTGGTTTCTCATCATTTGGGTACTTGGGAACCTAATAAGTGGACAAAACGTCCCACTGAAATTATCTTGTTCACGTCATGCACGGTGGCTCATACCTGTAATCCCAGCACTTTGGGAAGCCAAGGCAGGGGAATCGCTTAAGGCCAGGAGTTCAAGACCAGCCTGGGAAACATGGCGAGACCCCCATCTCTACAAATTTTTTTTTTTTTAAACTAGCTGGGCCTGGTGGCACCCACTTATAGTGCAGCTACTCAGGAGGCTGAGACAAGAGGATCGTTTGAGGCTGCAGTGAGCTGAGCTGTGATCGCACCATTGCACTCCAGCCTGGGGTGACAAGACCTCATCTCTAGAAAACAAATCTCTCCTATAGCTTTTAATTTGCTCCTGATCGTTCCCTTTTGTAATATTTTTATCATAGCTCCCCTTTTTCTTTTATCAGTTTGCCCCTTTCATAGAAATTCCATTTCTTCCTTTTTTTTTTTTTTTTTTTTTTGAGACAGAGTTTCACTCTGTTGCCCAGGCTGGAGTGCAATGGTGCGATCTCGGCTCACCACAACCTCCGCCTCCCAGGTTCAAGCAATTCTCCTGCCTCAGCCTCCCAAGTAGCTAGGATTACAGGCGTGCACAACCATGCCTGGCTAATTTTGTATTTTTAGTAGAGATGGGGTTTCTCCATGTTGGTCAGGCTGGTCTCGAACTCCCAATCTCAGGTGATCCACCCACCTCGGCCTCCCAAAGTGCTGGGATTACAGGCATGAGCCACGGCGCCCGGCTCAGAAATTCTATTTCTTTCCTTTTTGCAAAGTTACCTGAAATTGTACCTCTCTCATTTGTATGCTCAATGAGGAAGGAAATAAGAGAGGGTGGCACAATTAATCTGTGTTCAAAAATGTCATCATCACTGTGTCTCGTTTGATAAGCAGATTGTATTCTTACTAGTGAGAGTAGAAGATCCTGAATAGTTCAGAGTCTGGCCAGGGCACCACAACCACACATTTCAGAGCACTGGGCCATGGCTGTGGATTCCCCCGAGGAACGAGTTTGCTGATGACCCTGTTTGTGCTCTCCCTGAGGGTGATGGTTTCACTTATTCCATGCTCTGAGCCAACTCTCCTAAGATTCTTTTATCTAACATGGCCTGCAGAAGTTAATGGTGGCATGATTTACTTTGACTATTTTAGATGCCAGGCGTGTGTCTTGAAGAGACCAGTGAAGAGGGGCTTGAAGTTCTGATTCACTCGAACTTTTTTGGGTTTTATGTCTTTCCTTTCTCGTCAGCATCAAGGCCATCTAACTTCAAGGCTGAATGAATGAGTTCTGTTTTCCTTAATAGGGAGAGGGAGGAGATGGCCTAGGACTCATTCACAGCTGTGTGTGTGGAAAGTGCATTGGTGATAGATCTTGACTTATTTAGTGATTTTTCAGAAGATTGTTGGTTTTTCACTGGTAAGACCAACAACTATCCTTGTTAACCAGCTTTAACCAGAAGGACTAAGGAAGTTGGACATCTCGTACCACTCGCAATTGATTTTCTAATGCAGTTCTCTTGTTTAAATTCTGTGGCTGTGATAATCTAGGTAGCCAATTACTCTTTTTTGTTAACTAAGAAGATTTATACTGCTGTTGTGCTAGGGTTTGTAATTTAAGGTGTGGACATGTCCAGGATGTTAAATTTAGCTTGTGTCTCAAAACTAGAGCTATCCAAACTCTTTTTTGCTCTGGTTGCCCTGGTCCCTTGATGTTCAGCAAGCAGCTTTGCAGTGCCCACAGCACTCCGGCCTCCCTCCTTGGTACTGCAGGGCCACTGTGAAGAGGGAATCAGGACAGGATCCTTCAGGTCTTGGCTTAGGCATCTTTTTTTCCTAAAAGTCTTTCTGGACCAATAGTCTGTCAGCAGGGACGGCTTCACAGAAGAGATGAAACTCAACTTTTAAGACTGGCTGGGTTTGGGGGAGGGAAGAGACCAAGAAGGAAATTCCAGCAGTGGGGCTGGCAGGAGCAGAAATAACATGTGGCGTATCCCAGAGCCAGTCAAAAAGAGCAACTTGACTGGGCGTGATGGTTTTAGCAGGCAGGAGAAGGTCCCCTTGATAAGGAAGGCATTTCCAGGGAGTGCATCAAGAGGCATGCAGAATAATCTGTCATAAGAGTAGAGTTTAAAAAAATAAATTCAAAAAAAGAGGCATGCAGAAGAGTAGTGCGCGGTGGAGGGAGGGAACAGGATGTGCTTAGGCCTAGAAATAGATTGCCATTCTGGTCATTTCCATGATATTGCTGTGTATTACTGTTCTGTGGCAATTTAAGTAAAAGAGAGGAATAAAACTTTGTAATGTATTAGAGACCTTAAAACTTAAAATCCAAGAAGATTTTTATATACCTGAATTAAAAAGTGGGACTTGGTAGAAGTTACCCAGGAAACATAAAAAAATGAACAGCCTTCTCATTTCCCCACTTCTGTGGTCCTAATTCTTTGACCTTGAATCTTCTCTCTCTCTTTAAAATGGTGGTAACTATATACATCATATAAGCTTCACCATTAAGTGTACGAGTTCAGTGGCATTAATTAAGCACATTCACTCTGCTGTGCACCCATCATCACTGACCATCTCCAGAACTTTTTCCTCTTTTTTTTTTTTTTTTTTTGAGACAGTGTCTCGCTCTGTTTCCCAGGCTGGAGTCCAGTGGCTCAATCTCGGCTCACTGCAAGCTCCGCCTCCTGGGTTCATGCCATTCTCCTGCCTCAGCCTCCCGAGTAGCTGGGACTACAGGCATCTGCCACCACGCCTGGCTAATTTTTTTTTGTATTTTTAGTAGAGATGGGGTTTCACCGTGTCTGCCAGGATGGTCTCGATCTCCTGACCTCGTGATCCACCCGCCTCGGCCGCCCAAAGTGCTGGGATTACAGACATGAGCCACCGCACCCAGCCCCTCTTCTTAAACTGAAACTCCATACCTATTAAACCCAGGCTCCTCACTTCTGCCTCCCCACAGCCCCTGGCAACCACCATTCCACTTTCTGTCTCTAGGAATTTGACCACTCCAGGTCTTTTGTGAGTGGAGTCGTGTATTTGTCCTTTTGTGACTGGCTTCTTTCACGTGGCATAATGCCTTCAAGGTTCGCTCTTGTTGTAGCATGTATCAGAATTTTATTCCTTTTTATGATGGAATTATATATATCCCATTGTATCTACATACCACGTTTTGGTTATTCATTCATCTATCTATGGACACTTAGGTTGTTTCCACCTTTTGATTACTGTAAATAATGCTACCATATATATTCTGTATATTGATCCCTTACCTGATATACATGAAATAGTCTTTCTCATCCTGTGGCTTGCCTTTTCATCCTATTGATAGTATCCTTTGATACACAAAAGTTTTTTCTCATTTTTGTTTGTTTGTTTGAGACAGAGTCTCACTCTGCACCCAGGCTGGAGTGCAATGCTACCATCTCAACTCACTGCAACCTCCGCCTCCCAGGTTCAAGCAGTTCTTGTGCTTCAACCTCCCAAGTAGCTGGGATTACAGGTGTCCACCACCATGCCCAACTAATTTTTCTATTTTTAGTAGAGATGGGTTTCATCCTGTTGGCCAGGCTGATCTCCAACTGCTGACCTCAAGTGATCCACCCGCCTCAGCCTCCCAGAGTGCTGGGATTACAGGCATGAGCCACCATGCCTGGCCAAAAGTTTTGACTCTTAATGAAGCCCACTTTATCCATTTTTTCTTTCGTCACCTGTGCTTTCGGTGTCTCTTCTCTTTTTTTGTGCTTGCTCTTTAATTCATCTTCATCTACCTTTTTTTTGTTTTAAACACATAGAAGGTTACACAAACATATCTTCCTACTCAGCCTTGGTTTATAATTTACTGTTGCCCTAAGAATTTCAGAAAGGAAAAGAATTCTTGCTTCCCTGGCTAGGCTCTTGGGGTCTTGATGTGCAAGAAGAAATGCTGTTGTGAATACAAAGAATGATGAGGAAGTATACAAAAGGTGCCCTAGGCTGGCTGCGGGGGTCCAGCAGGCTGGCTACATTATTCTGTGGTCAACCTCTTACAAATGGGGTGCTCCTGTCCGTCTCCGTGGCCAGCTGCCACCAGCCCTATGGTGTGAATGGCAAGGAAGTGGGGACTGGCGGCTGGCCGAACTCCAGGATGCAGCCTTGGCTGGCAGAGAACCAAAGGCAGAGGGGGAAAAACACTCTTGAGTATGAGAGAAATAATGCTAGCTCCGAAACCTATAATTCGCAAGTTTAAAAAAATTTAAAAAATAAAAAAGATTTTTCAACCAAACTGTGCTTTTATCTTTAGGTTCTGAATGGGAGATTGTTCACACAGCTAAGCTGGCTGCAGAAGCTAGGCCAGTTAAAACAATATGCAGGCAGCTCTCCTCTAAGTAACCAGAAACTGTTGGCTCAAAGGAGCCTGAACCGAGGAACCAACCTGCTGGGAGACGTTTTCCAAGTAACTCCAAGCAACAGCCTGAATGTAAATCCTCCCGCTGGGGAATGGCACTTTGGCAAATGAAGACCCTAATTAGAGATGGAAGGGTTTCTATTTTGTTTTTCTTTAATCCTTACCCTGGGGCCTTTGCAGGGCCACCATGTCTCTGCTTGTGTGCAAAGAAATTTCCAGCTTCTCTTTGTAACAAGATCCTCTTTTGGGAAAGAAGCAACAAGCCGACAATGTGGGCCCACCACAGCCGGGGGACCCTGCAACCAGCCTAATCCAAAACAAAAAGGCCTGGTCTGGGCCGGAGCAGCTGGGTCACCTGGATTGGCCAAGTCGTTTGAAGTTGCTAGCCAAGTTGGATCTTATGTTGCCCCTGCCCCGTGAGACACTCAAATCCGTGCTTAGAGTGCAAGTGAAGTTTCTTAACTTCCAAAGGAGAACAGCAGTGTGAACAAAATGCAAAGCAGTAAGAGAGAACTGTAGCTCTGAGGCACTAGGGCCAAGGTCCAATTGAATGGGTGTGGAGCCCTCTTATCTCCTCAGCCTTCTATTTGGGTCTTCACTATTGGATCTAAACAGTGAAGCAGAGGGACTATGCTCTCTTTCAAATTGATCACCTTAGTTCTCAAAACATCCAGAAGTATCACATACGTGGAGAACCTGCCCACGCCAGTGTTGTTTTGTTGTGGGTGCACCATTGACTTACCCAGTATTCTCAAGGTCTTCGAACTGATGATTCTGCTCAATTTCATTTCTCTTTGGCCCTGGAAAGGCAGTTGAGTAGAGCTCTCTGGGACCAAAGTATCAAGCTGGTCAGTGAATGATACAATCAATTTTAGATAGTTGTGGATAACTGAAGTG